>NW_017852928.1:300000-551020 GCF_000001405.40 Homo sapiens | reverse complement strand
TCTGATTTGAATTTTGAAAAGTTCATGCACCCTAGATGTTGTGTGAAGAACTCATTATATGGACATCAGCTATCACTGGATGAGATATGATGGTGGCTTAGATTCATCTGCTCACATGTGGAAGACTGTGGGAGGAGGTTTTTGGAGAGAAGTAAAGAGTTCTGTTGTGTACATGTTAAACTTGAGAAATTTTTAGACAGCCAAGTAGAGACTTTGAGGAGGCAGTTGAATATAGAAATCCAGAACTTCACTGGAATTAATAGCTCTGGAGATAAAAATGTGGAAGTTGTCAATGGCTAGATGTATGAAAAGGCTGGGACCAAATGTGATCATCTGGAGGTGAATATAAATAGAAAAAAGAGCCCACTATTCCTATCAAACTACTAACTTCATTTTTCACAGAAATAGAAAAGACTATTCTAAAATTTGTATGGAACCAAAAAAGCTCACATAGCCAAAGCATCCTAAGCAAAAAGAACAAAGTCAGAGACATCACATTACCTGACTTCAAACTGTACTGCAAGGCTATGGTAACCAAAAAAAGCATGATGCTGGTACAAAAATAGAAAATCACCAATGGAAGGAACAGAATAGAGAACCCAAAAATAAAGCCACACATCTACCGCTAGTAAGCAGTGGGAAAAGGACTCTATTCAATAAATGGTGTCTGGATAACTGGCTGTCCATATGCAGAAGAGTGAATCTGGACCCCTATCTCTTACCATATACAAAGATTAACTCAAGATGGATTAAAGACTTAAATGTAAGACCTGAAACTATAACAGAAGAAAGCCTAGGAAATATCCTTCTCAACATCAGCCTTGGCAAAGAATTTATGACTAAGTCCTCAAAAGCAATTGCAATAAAAGCTAAAATTGACAAGTGGGACCTAATTAAACTGAGGAGCTTCTGAATAGCAAGAGAAACTATCAATGGAGTAAATAGATGACCTAGAGAATGGCAGGAAATATTTGCAAGCTATGTATCTGACAAAAGTCTAATATGCAGAATCTATAAGGAACTTAAATCAACAAGCAAAAAACAAATAACCCTATTAAAAATGGGCAAAGGACATGAAAAGACACTTCTTAAAAAAAGATATACAAGCAGCCAACGAACATGAAAAAATGCTCATCACTAATCATCAGAGAAATGCAAATCAAATCCACAATGAGATACCATCTCACACTTGTCAGAATGGGTTTTGTTAAAATGCCAAAAAATAACAGATGTTGGTGGGGCTGTGGAGAAAAGGAAATGCTTACACATTGTTGCTGGGAATGCAAATTTGTTCAGCCTCTGGGGAGAGCAGTTTGGAGATTTCTCAAAGAAATAAGAATTGAACTACTATTCAACCAAGCAATGACATTACTGAGTTTATACCCAAAGGAAAATAAATCATTCTACTAAAAAGACACATGCACCTGTATGTTCATTGCAGCACTATTCACAATAGCAAAGACATGGACCCCGCCCAGGTGCCCATCAACAGTGGATTGGATAAAGAAAATGTGGTATTAATGCTTATATACCATGGATTACTGTACAGCCATAAAAAAGAATGAAACCATGTTCTTTGCAGCAACATGGATGCAGCTGAAGTAATGAAGAAACAGAAAATCAAATAACACATGTTCTCACTTATAAGTGGGAGCTAAACATGGGGTACACATGGACATAAGGAGGAGAACAATAGACACTTGGAAATACAAGAGTGGGAAGGAAGGGGGGCAAAGGTTGAAAAAATACCTATTGGGTTCTATGCTCACTTCCTGGGTGGTGGGTTTAATCATACTCCAAACCCCAGCATCATGCAATATGCCTTTCTAACAAACCTGCATGTGTACCCTGGAATCTAAAATAAAAATTGAAAAACAAAAGAAAGAAAAGAGAGCCCAGGATGCAATGAAATATATTTAATATTCTGTGAATATTCTTCTTCTTCTTCTTCCCATCACAAATAATAGCCATTGATGATCATTGTCTAGATTCATGAATTCATTAGGGTTTAATATAGTGGTAATCTAATTCTGTCATTCTTTCTTCAATTTACTTGCTGGAATACTTCTATAAGAGAAAATTCAATGACTTAACCTAATAAAAATTTGTTTTTTGCTCAAGCAATAGTCCAGTGAGGCTGCTGCTGATATCTTGACTATACTGGACTCTCTCCTCTAAGCACTAACTCAGATCACTTTCCTCTTGTGATTGTATGCTTTTCTGGGTCTTTGAAATCTTCTCTATTAAGGCGGTGAATGGAAAAAAAGAATAGGGGATCAGATGTGGCAAGATTTTACAGGCCAGGCCTGGAAGTGTGTTCTTTTTCTACCTACATTCCATTGACTACAACAGTCATATGGCTGTACCTAACTGCAAGGGAGGCTGGGATATGTAGTTCAACTGTATGTCCAGTAGGAAAACAGAAATAATTTAGTAAATCATTAACCAGTTTCTGGCCATATGGCCATAAACTTGAAAATACACAATCACGCTCTCTCCCTCCTCTCCCTCCTCTCCCTCCTCTCCCTCTCCCTCTCCCTCTCCCTCTCCCTCTCCCGTCTCCCTCCTCTCCCTCCTCTCCCTCCTCTCCCTCCTCTCCCTCCTCTCCCTCTCTTTCCACGGTCTCCCTCTGATGCAGAGCTGAAGCTGGACTGTACTGCTGCCATCTCCGCTCACTGCAACCCCCCTGCCTGGTTCTCCTGCCTCAGCCTGCCGAGTGCCTGCGACTGCAGGCGCGCGCCACCACGCCTGACTGGTTTTCGTATTTTTTTGGTGGAGACGGGGTTTCGCTGTGTTGGCCGGGCTGGTCTCCAGCTCCTAACCACAAGTGATCCGCCAGCCTCGGCTTCCCGAGGTGCCAGGATTGCAGACAGAGTGTCGTTCACTCAGTGCTCAATGGTGCCCAGGCTGGAGTGCAGTGGCGTGATCTTGGCTCACTACAACCTCCACCTCCCAGCCGCCTGCCTTGGCCTCCCAAAGTGCCGAGATTGCAGCCTCTGCCCGGCCGCCACCCTATCTGGGAAGTGAGGAGCGTCTCTGCCTGGCCACCATCCCATCTAGGAAGTGAGGAGCGTCTCTGCCTGGCCGCCCATCGTCTGAGATGTGGGGAGCGCCTCTGCCCTGCTGCCCCGTCTGGGATGTGAGGAGCGTCTCTGCCAGGCCGCCCCGTCTGAGAAGTGAGGAGCCCCTCCGCCCGGCAGCCACCCCGTCTGGGAAGTGAGGAGCGTCTCCGCCTGGCAGCCACCCTGTCCGGGAGGGAGGTGGGGGTCAGCCCCCGCCCGGCCAGCCGCCCCGTCAGGGAGAGAGGTGGGGGGGTCAGCCACCCGCCCGGCCAGCCGCCCCGTCCGGGAGGTGAGGGGTGCTTCTGCCCGGCCGCCCCTACTGGGAAGTGAGGAGCCCCTCTGCCCGGCTGCCACCCCGGCTGGGAGGTGTACCCAACAGCTCATTGAGAACGGGCCAGGATGACAATGGCGGTTTTGTAGAATAGAAAGGGGGGAAAAGTGGGGAAAAGATTGAGAAATTGGATGGTTGTCGTGTCTGTGTAGAAAGAGGTAGACATGGGAGACTTTTCCTTTTGTGCTGTACTAAGAAAAATTCTTCTTCCTTGGGATCCTGTTGATCTGTGACCTTGCCCCCAACCCTGTGCTCTCTGAAACATGTGCTGTGTCCACTCAGGGTTAAATGGATTAAGGGCGGTGCAAGATGTGCTTTGTTAAACAGATGCTTGAAGGCAGCATGCTCGTTAAAAGTCATCACCACTCCCTAATCTCAAGTACCCAGGGACACAAACACTGCGGAAGGCCGCAGGGTCCTCTGCCTAGGAAAACCAGAGACCTCTGTTCACATGTTTATCTGCTGACCTTCCCTCCACTATTGTCCTGTGACCCTGCCAAATCCCCCTCTGCGAGAAACACCCAAGAATGATCAATTAAAAAAAAAAAAAGAAAAAAAAAAAGAAAATACACAATCACACATTTACAATTTGTGGTAAATGCTGTAAAGTTAAATAATATATATGAATGAGAATAGTTGGCTGGGGGCAGAGAGCTATAATACTTCAGGAAAATCCTTTGCTATGAGATAATATTTAAGCTGAGACCTAACAAATGAGGACAAGAGTGGTAGGAGGAAGAATCTCCTAGGCATGTATGAAGGTCCTGAGGTAGGAAAGAGCTTAGAGAATCCAAGGACCTGCAAGAAGACCAATGCAGCTGAACCTGAAAAGAGAGTTATGAAACAAGGCTAGACAGGTAGGCAAGGCCCATATCATGCAGTGCTCCATAGAATGTGGTAAAGAGTTAGCGTTTAATCGCAATAGCAGTGGAAGGACATAGTATGATTAGTGTTTTTTAGTATTTAATGCTAATAGCGATGGAAAGGCATGATGTGGTATTTCTAACAGAGTGTTAAAATGGGACTCTTCCTGATTCACTGCAGCTGAGGGCCTAATTACCCCCACATTTCAAAGTGCAGTGAGTGAGATCATCTATGGCAGAATTATGAAAGAGGTGCTGAAACCACTTCTGTGGATCTTCACCCCTCTGCCTATCTTAAGGCTATATAGGAACTAAAATTGAAAAGGCCAAGGAGATAGTTGAGTTTTGGAAATTCCCATTGAAAGAATCTCCAATGCATCATGTCTTCCCTACAACCCCATGAGAGATTGGTAGGACAGGTATTTTTACCTTGCCTCAGGTGTGCTAGTGAGGGGTGCTCCAAGGAGACCACATGGAAGGTTTGACCTGTAGCCTCTGGAGTCCATGGGTCACAGAAATACCTGGTAAATAGCTTACTGTCATCAAAGTAAGGAACTGCATTTGGAAAGTTAACTAGTATTGACAGTTTGCATTGGCAGCTCCAAGGTATGAAATCCTTGGGAGGAATATATACGTGCGGTCATTTAAAAGGGGATCATGCTTAAGAGAACTTCTGTCCACACCAGACAACCTTAGCAGACAGAGGCTGGAGACGTGTCTTCAGATTCAGAAGCTGAACGTGGGGCTGGAGTGGGTATGTAAGCATCCAGCTAAGGTCGAGGCTTTGCCTATTTCAATGAGCTCCAATCAGCGGAACTTACAGAGGACTATCTAGGGTGAGGAGATCGAGACCATCCTGGCTAACACGGTGAAACCCCGTCTCTACTAAAAAATACAAAAAAATTAGCCGGGCGTGGTGACGGGCGCCTGTAGTCCCAGCTACTCGGGAGGCTGAGGCAGGAGAATGGCGTGAACCCAGGAGGCGGAGCTTGCGGTGAGCTGATGCGCCACCGCACTCCAGCCTGGGCGACAAAGCGAGACTCCGTTTCAAAAAAAAAAAAAAAAAAAAAAAAAGTCCTGAGAGTAAGAGTCAGCTTTAAACACCTGCCACGGCCAGAGTCTGTCAATGGTAGATTACGCCTGTGTCTGTCACACAAGATCTTTTCTGTTTCTTATCTCTCTTTCCTGGCCCCTCCAACCTTGGCTGGCTGAAGCGGCTGAGACAATGAAGAGGAGGAGGCCAGGAGAGAGGAGCCAGCCCCACCACAAAGGCCGCCAGCCCTAGCAGGTTTGGGGTTTGGGTGGGTGGTGGGGAGGAAGCATTAACTGTAATGAAATTCAGTGTTTCAACCAACACGCTGAACTGGGCATTTTTATTATTGAAATGAGACCATTTTGCGACTGAAAGAGAGAATTCGTATTAACTGACAGCACCAAAAAAAAGTCAAGGGACTTGCCCCAGGCGCCAGGAAAGAACCTGTCCTGCAGAGCCGGTTTGATCAGGCTGTTGGGAAGAAAAGAATAAAGTTGTTTTCTGTTCTCACTTCAAGGTTTCTGGTTCTGTATAAAAGTTACTTGTTTAAACAATCACACTGGTTGCTGTGTGGAAATCAGACCGGAGGATGGCAGGTGTGAGTGCAAAGGGTCAGTGAGGAGGGGACAGCTGGCTCCTCCACTTCCTAGCTGTGTGATATTGGGAAAGTCAGTTAACTTCTCTGTGCATCAGTTTCTTCATCTTCAAGTGGTGCTAGAATGCTTTATAGGGTTATTGAGAAGAATAAATCAGCTAATGCATTTAAAGCACTTAGAGGGGTACCTGACCCATAGTAAGGATTATAAGGTGTTTGCTACTATTTTTATTTAAAAAATTCTGATTGTAGCAGCCCCAATGTAAGACAGTGTTGACTTGGACTACCTTTAACCAGAGAGCGTGAAAAAGCTCATGATGTATTTTAGAATGATATTCAACAGGGCTTTGTGGGGGATGATTGGATATGGAGACTGAGGCAGAGGGAGAGGACAAGAATCGCTCCCAGGGTTCTGGTTTGGACATCTGGTTGGAATTGAGATGACTGAGTTTGAGCAGGACAAGAATGGTATACAAGCTTAATAGAGATTCCTGGTTACTGATGCTTCAAAAAGTATGCATTTTATTTTATTTTTTAGAGACAGGGTCTCACTGTTGTCTGGGCTGGAGTGCAGTGATGCAATCATAGTTCACTGCAGCCTTGAGCTCTTTGGCTCAAGTGATCCTGCCACTTCAGCCTCTAGAGTAGCTGCGACTACCGGTGTGTGCACATGTCCGGCTAATTTTTGCATTTTTTTAATTGTAGAGATGGGTTCTCACTATGTTGCCCAGGCTGGTCTTGAACTTCTGGCCTCAAGCCATCCTCCTGCCTTGGCCTCCCAAAGTGTTGGAATTACGGGCATGAGCCACTGTGCCTGGCCAGAAAACTGTGATTTAATAGCATTGAAAGCTCTGAGCATCACGGGAGTGATTTTTCTGAAGTGTAAAGGCTCTAAAACAAAGTACTTGTTTTGCTAGGTCACCTTCCGATCCTTTGTCCCACTCTTTTAGATAATGGTGCAGGGGGAGTCTGGGTAATTATATAATAATATGGTTTTCGTTTTGAGAACCAAGAATGACCTCAACAGGCAATCAGTCCTTGCATAATAAACACTGTTAGAAAATAAATGGCATAATATTAACAGTTCTAAAACTAAAGTTACTGTCTTTGACAGATGTCTTCTAAAATTGTTATATGTCTAATAAACTTAGTAAAAAATATATTTATCCAGTGGGGACTGCAATATAGTGACAGGCCTTTTTTTTCAAAAGCACACACATAAATGCATGGATAAAATTTTAGTGCTTATGTTTTAAATACCTTGAATGGCTTGTCACCTTACCTTTGCTATTGGAAGTTGATCTTTGAAACTAAGGTAACAGCCTGATTCCCATCCTAAAGATATGCTGTGGAGATATAGAAACACTGTCCTTTGGTATTAATTTTCTATTTTCTTCCCTACCCTCCTGGGATACAGTGTTGAGAATCAAAATTTCTCTTTCTCCTGAGGTCTTGCCAAAAGCTGTCTTTATTACCCCCTCCTGCCTTGCTAGGGGTTGTGGAAGAGCATTTATGTTAGATGCTAGGGCTGACCAATGAACAAGTGGCTGAGGGCCTTTTTTATTCTCAGTCTTTAAATTTTGTAGAAACTATAAAAGTGACTCGAGTAACTCTTTGTAGACTTGCATATCCCCTCATCAGAACTTTCCTTTTAGTTGTCTTTCTTGACAGCACTCCACTAGGAGAGGCTGGGTCCTTCAGGGCTCTGTGAGTGGGAAGAGCAGGGTGTTCTCTGAGACCTTGGTGTCCATGGTCACACCATCCACCTGGCCTAGGGCCTCATCTGGCTTAATGACTACAGTATTCTTGATGTAGCAAGTATTCTTTTAGGTAAAAATAATAAATCTCCTGCAGTTTAGTGACAGATGTTTGGTTTGGCATGTTACTCTCGCTTTTGGCAAACTCATACGGTGGCGAAGCCAATCCACATGATCCAGAAGGGAGAAAATAAGATCAAATGTTAAAATGCTATACTAATCCCCTAGCAGATAACGGATGGGAGAGGAGGCCTTGGCTTTCAAACAGTGACTATCTTAGATAATAGAGGAAAAATTTGAAATCCATACAGGTACATATCAGGAAGTTAAAGTACCTAAAACCAAATGTTTAATGTTGTTATATCTCCTTTTATTTTTACAGCCATAGTGATCAGCTTGTAACATCCACTTTGAAAATTTCCAAGGCCAACATCATCTCAGTCATGAAGTATGGTACTTTGGGGAATCTATTGGATATTTGTTTATGTACTAGAGTGAACCTGGAACTGCTTATTCCTTTGCTTCCTTAAAAATGTATTTTCTAAAGTCAGCTGATTAGCAAAAAAAAGAAATAAAATTTATTGTCTTTTAATTTTCATCAAAGTAATTGTATACATAGTAAAAATAAGGTAGTGCTGAGGAGTTTATACTGAAAAACAACAGCTGTCTGCCACACTTCCCAGTCCCACTTTCCAGAGGAAAACCGCCTCCCTTTTTTGATAAAAAAAATTACATATTTTTGAGACGGGTTTTACTCTGTTGCCTAGGCTGGAGTGCAGTAGTGTGACCATGGCTCACTATAGCCTTGACCTTCCAAGCTCAGTGGATCCTTCCACCTCGGCCCCTTGGGTAGCTGGGACTACAGGCATGTGCCCCCGTGCCTGGCTAATTTTTTCATTTTTTGTAGAGACAGGGTCTCACTATGTTGCCCAGGCTGGTCTCGAACTCCTGGGCTCAAGCGATCCTCCCACTTCTGCCTCCCAAAGTGCTGGGATTATAGGTATGAGCCACCGTGCCTGACCAAGATTAAAATTTTTAATCACTGATTTTTATCCCTTTATTCCTTTAAACTGCCTCCTGCAAAGTTACAACTGAAAGTAATTTGGTGTGTATCTTTCAAGACTTTATTTCTATGTATTGTACTTATTCTCTATAATAAAAACAAGGATTTAGCTACCCTCTCCCAGTTTTTGATAGCTATTATTATAGTTTTATTCTTGGTTGCTTTTATACCTTTAAATAAAACACTTAAACCTCTAGTTTTTGTCCCATCAGCCATATATAATACCTCTTGACTCCCAGGCTATATTTATATAATCATGATTATTTATTGGATACTTAGTATGGCGACAGGCACTGTTCTAAGTGCTCAGTGAACAAAACAGAGCTCTCAGGCTCATTGGCACTTACATGGTAGTTGGGGGTAGGGGTGTTCAGATACAGAAATTATATAGTAGACATTGATGGGGTGTTCAGATACAGAAATTATATAGTAGACATTGATACATTCAAAATTAAAAAAAGTAAGACAGGAAAAGATAGTTCAGGAATCTGGAAAGTGGGAATAATGATTTTAAATCGGATGGTCAGATTTAACTTCATTGAGAGATGATGTTTGAGCAGACATAAAGGCAGGGAGGATGTTATTCATGTAAGCATTTTAGGGAAGAGAGTTCCAGGCAGAGGCAACAGCAAAGGCTGCAAGGAAGGAGTGTGCCTGGCACATTCAAGGATTACAGGTGGCTAGTAGGGCTAGAATGGAGTGAGCAAAGGGCAGCGTGGTGGAGGATGAGGTCAGAGAGATAACAGGGTGAGATGATATAGGGCTATGTGGATCAATATAAAGAATTTTTGCTTTTACGTTGGGTACAATGAGAAGCCATTGCAAGGTTTTGAGCAGAGTGACACGGTCTGACTTGTGGATATGTATAGCTTCCATGTTGAGAACTGTAGGAAGGCATAGGGGGAGGCAGGGGAGTAGTCGGGAGGCTTTTACAGTCGTCAAGACAGAGATGCTGGTAGTGCTGACCAGGAGATACTCGTGGAGTTGGTGAGAAGAGGTCACATTCTGGAGATATGCTGATGAGACTATTGGCCCTTTTCTCCTTTCTTCCACCTTCTACCCTTCCACCTACCATAATATTCTGTCAAGAATATTATTATTATTTTTTTCTCCTGAAACAGGGTCTTGCTCTGTTACCCAGGCTGGAGTGCAGTGGCGTGATCTTGGCTTACTGCAACCTCCACCTTCTGGGCTCAAGCAATCCTCCTGCCTCAGCTTCCCAAATAGCTGGGACTATAGGCAAGTTCCATCATGCCAGGCTAATTTTTGTATTTTTTGTAGAGATGAGATTTCACCATGTTTCCCAGGCTGGTCTTGAACTCCTGAGTTCAAATGATCCACCCACCCTGGCCTCCCAAAGTGTTGGCATTCCAGGCGTGAGCCATCGGGTCTGGCCTAGACTTTTGTTTTTATGTTTTCAGAGTTAATGCCAAATTCTTTCTTTATTGTAACCCATCTTTTATAAACTGTTGCTTACAGTTTGATTCTGGGAGTTAAATATCAACATAACCCCCCAATTTATGTTATTATGACTATTTAATTAATATTCATTGCATAGGCAAATAATATGCAAAAATTACATTTCCTTTTCTATAGGTCCAAGACCATGACCTCTGGGCTCTTTGAAGAAGGATATTTTAGAGTCTAAATTAAATAAATTCTCTTTCATAGTTACAGAAATTGCTGAAAATTGTGCTACATTTTAGCTGGCTTCATATTTGTATCTTGACTTTTCTATATAATTCTTGTCGTTTTTTTTTTTCCTGGAATTTCCAATTATCTTTCTTTTATCTTGCTGAGAGAAGAAACATATGTTTTCTTCACCATGTCACTGATATCATCTATTTTCATGGTCATTCTATGTTTTGTGTAAACTACATTTCATTTTTCTTCCTGAAGATAGTATTAATGTTATACTTGGGACCCACTGACTCCCTCTCCTGATTTAGATTGTTTTGTAAACCCTATGCACAGCTGTCACTCTGAAATGATTTTTCATTATACTCCTGAGTGAGTTCTACTCTTTCTTGTATTCCATATCTTCCTCTGTTGGTTTGCACTTCACTTCTCTGGAATATCTCCAAAAGTATCTTCGTCAGAAAAAACAGACGGGAGATGAAATTTCTGAGTAATTGAAAATCTGAAAATGTCTTTAGTATGCCTTCACATTGATTTATAGTTAGGTGGAGTACAACATTCTATATTCAAACATTTTTTCCCTTCAGAACTGTGAAGGAATTGTTCTGCTGTCTTTAGCATGGAGTATTACTAATAAGCTTGGGCCGGGCACGGTGGCTCAAGCCTGTAATCCCAGCACTTTGGAAGACTGAGGTGAAAGGATCGCTTGAGCCCAGGAGTTCATGACCAGCCTGGGCAACATGGCAAAATCCTGTCTTTACAAAAAATGCCAAAACTTAGCTGGGTGTTGTGGCTCATGCTTGTAGTCCCAGCTACGCAGGAGGCTAAGGTGAGCAAGACTGTGTCTTGGAGGAAAAAACGAAAAGAAGCAGCAGCTTGATGCTGGTGTATTATTGTTCCTTGGTAGGTGATCTTTTTTCTCTTCCTCTCTAGAGTCTTCCCATGTTCATTGCAACACTATTCCCAATAGCCTAGATGTGGAAACAATCTACATGTCCATTGATAGATAAATGGATCAAGAAACTTTGCTATATACATAAAATGGAATATTATTCAGTCATAAAAAAGGAAATCCAGTCATTTGTGACAACATGGATGAATCTGGAGGACATTACGCTAAGTGAAATAAGCTAGTTGTTCATTTCTATGGCAGAGAGTAGAATGGTGGCTGCCAGGGGCTGAGGGAGGGGAAATAGAGAGGGCTGCCCAGTGGATATAAAGCTTCAGTTATGCAAGATGATTAAGTTCTAGAGATCTGCTGTATAGCATTGTGTTTACAGTTAATAGTACTGTAAACTTAAATTTTTTTCAGAAGGTAGGTCTTATGTGTTCTTACCACAGTAAAGAAATTAATTAACTTAAAAATCTCTTAATATTTAATCTTCCAGAATTTCATAATGTGATGTCTAGTTGATCTTTTTTCATTCATTTTGCCTAGTACTCATTTACACCCTTCACTAGGAATAGTTACATCTTTCTTTAACTCTCGATGAGACATATATACATATATATATATATAGAGAGAGAGAGTGTGTGTGTGTGTGTGTGTACTCACATACATACTAAAGCTTTAAAAGATATTTCATTCCTTGTTTTTTTTCTTTTTGGAACTTCTATTTGCTGGATATAGGATCTTCTGGATTTATTCTGTTTCGTCTTTCTTCTGACATTTCCTCTCTTTTCATCTTTTGCTTTATGTTCCAGGAGAGGGTCTAGGCTGTCTTTCAACCCTTCGATTTTTAAAATGTCAGCAATTATATGCTTAATTTCCCAGAACTCTTTCTTCTTTTGGATTTTTATTTTGGTTTGTGTGTGTGAAGTCAGGGCAGGGTGTAGGAGTATCCAGTCGTAGTTTCATGGAAGCAGTGTCTTTTCAAATGTCTCTGAGAACAGTAATTAAAAATGTAATTTTTTCTATTCCATAGATAATCTCTGCTCTTTTCTTAGGATGAATACTGTTTATCTTGGTCTTTCTTTTTTATGTTGCTTGTTTTCTTTCTTGTGATCTTTAGTTGTCCATCATATTTTAGAATGAGACTTCTAAGTAGCTTTTAGGAGTTTCTTACTCTGATGTATATAAGTCTGTTTTCCCATGGAATATCTGCCAGTAGTTGGGAGCTCTGTGTACCTGGGCGGTGGGCTGGGGCGGGGGCGGGGGGGTGCAGATAATTGATTGTGGTAATGCTGGTTATATAAATTTCAATGGCTTTACATAATAGATGTTTGTTTGTCATCTGTATTGTGGTCCAATGCCTGATTGGCAGGTGGCTTCTTGCATGTGGTGATTCAGAGACCCAGACTCTTTCCCCTGGCACCACTAGCATCTCCGCAGGCCTTGGTGCCTTCTGCCTCTGGCTGGCAGAAGAGTAAATAAGAAAGTGCAAAGGCACACCTACTTTCTTAAAAGCCCTGGCCTGGAAGTGATACACATCACTTCTACTTATATCCCATGTAGTTAAATGACTACATTGGAATGCAAGCGAGGCTGGAAAATATAGTCCCTGGCCTGGAAGTCACCTACCAGAAGAGGCATCACAGTAAGGAATGAGGAACACAAATTTTTGTCACTCATTTCTAGTCATTCCTTTTGAAAATAGACTTATCCACTAGTCATGTTCATTTTAGGGTTAGAATGCTGGAGACTTTTAGTTTTTGCGGGGAGGAATGGGGTTACAAAATGCAAGAATAGAGAGAGCTTTACTTGGGGCACTGGCATCCATTTTCACCATTTCTGATTCTTCTCAGCCAGTTTACTCAATTTTTCAAGAAAAGAAACTTTTTTTTTTTTTTTTTTTTTTTTTTTTTTTTTTTTTTACGGCCAGGATTTCATACTAGTTGGTATTCTGTGTATTTAGGAGTGGGAGACGAGGGTTGGGAGTGTAGGTACATGTCTGGTGTAGACTGTGCACTAGGCAGGCTTTCAGTTAACCCTTCTATTTTACCTCTCCTCTGCCCCTGCCCTCTGAGGCACCTGCCAGCTCAGCCCTGGGCTTCTGTGGGTTTCTGCCGTAGAGACAGACTCACTCTGGCATTAAAATCCCTTCCTGCACATTCTGGGCTGCTGATTCTCTCTTATCTAGCCTTAGGCTTCCAGTCTCTTTCTGTCTTCCATTGTTTTAAACTCTCATCCACTGGTGACCCTCTTACTGTTCTGTTTACTGTTCTGAGTTAACCTCTATGTTATCATTAGGTCTCAGAAAGTAGAGAAGAAAAAGCTTTGTGCTGGGTCTACTGTATTGGACTTGAAGTCCCCAGAACCTTTTCTTGAGGAAATCCCAAGTTTCCCTGCAGGAACCATTCAGGTATTTGTCTAGAGTTCTATTTTGACAAGCTAGTGACTTCGTTTTTCTTCTGTAGAGGGAGGATCTCACTATATTGCCCAGGCTGCATTTATATTTCATTGTCTTAGAAATGTAACTTTTCTAAACAATTCTAAAATTCATATGGAACCAAAAAAGAGCCCACATAGCAAAAACATCCTAAGCAAAAAGAACAAAGCCAGAGACATCACATTACCTGACTTCAAACTATACTACTAGGCTATAGTAACCAAAACAACATGATACTGGTGCAAATATAGACATAGATGAATGGAACAGAATAGATAACCCAGAAATAAAGCCATATAGCTACAACCATCTGATCTTGAACAAAGTTGACAGAAATAAACAATGGAGAAAGAACTCCCTATTCAATAAATGGTGCTGGGAAAACTGACTAACCACATGAAGAAGAATCAAACTGTACCCTTATCTCTCACTATATACAAAATTGTATATATCTCTTACTATATACAAAAAAAGATGGATTAAAGGCTTAAAAGTAAGACCTGAAACTACAAAAATCCTAGCAGAAAACTTAGGAAAAACTCTTCTGGATATTGGCCTAGGCAAATAATTTATGATTAAGAACTGAAAAGCAAATACAATGAAAACAAAAATAGACAAATAATTAAATGAATGAGCTTCTGCACAGCAAAAGAAACAACAGAATAAACTAAGACAACCTACAGAATGGGAGTGATATGGTTTGGCTCTCTGTCCCCACCCAAATCTCATCTCGAATTGTAATCCCCCTAATCCCCATGTGTCGAGGGAGGGACCAGGTGGGAGGTGATTGGATCATGGGTGTGGTATCTCCCATGCTGTTCTCATGATAGTGAGTGAGTTCTCACAAGGTCCCATGGTTTTATAAGGGGTTCCTCCTCCTTCGCTCCACACTTCTCTCTTCTGCTGCCTTGTGCAGAAGGACATGTTTGCTTCCCTATCTGCCATGATTATAAGTTTCCTGAGGCCTCCCCAGTCATGTGGAACTGTGAGTCAATTGAACCTGTTTCCTTTATAAATTACCCAGTCTCAGGCCATTCTTTGTAGCAGTGTGAGAACAGACTAATACAGGGAGAAAATGTTTACTTACTATGCATTCAACAAAAGGACTGATATCCAGAATCTATAAGGAACTCAAATGAATCAACAAGAAAAAAACAACCCCTTAAAAAAGTGGGCAAAGGACAAGAACAGACATTTCTTAAAATACAAGTAACCAACAAACATGAAAAAAATGCTCAACATCATTAATCATCAGAGAAATGCAAAGTAAACAACGAGAAACCTTGTCACATCAGTCAGAATGGCTATTATTTAAAAGTCAAAAAATAATAGATGTTGGCAAGGATGCAGAGAAAAGGGAATACTTATGCACTATTGATGGGAAAAAAAATTAGTACAGCTCCTGTGGCAAACAGTATAGAGATTTCTCAAAGAGCTAAACATAGAGCTATCATTCAACTCAGCAATCTACAGGGAAGCTACCCAAAGGAAAATAAATTGTTATATCAAAAAGACCTGCACTCATATATTTATCACAGCACTATTCACAATAGGAAAGTCATAGATTCAACCCTAAGTGTACATCAGTGGTTGACTAGGTAAAGGAAATGTCATATATCTCATATATATCATATAATATATATAATATATGTCATATATAAATATATCATATATGTCATATATATCATATGTGTCATATACCATATATCATATGTCATATATAGCATATATATCACATATATGTCACATATATGTGTCACATATATGTCACATATATCACATATATCATATATATCACATATATCACATATATCATATATACCATATATATCATATATATACCATATATATGATATATATCATATATATCATATATATACCATATATATGATATATATCATATATATCATATATATACCATATATATCATATATATCATATATATACCATATATATCATATATATCATATATATACCATATATATCATATATATCATATATATACCATATATATCATATATATCATATATATACCATATATACCATATATATCATATATACCATATATATCATATATATCATATATATCATATATCATATATATCATATATATCATATATCATATATATACCATATATACCATATATATCATATATACTATATATCATATATACCATATATATCATATATACTATATATCATATATATACCATATATATCATATATACTATATATCATATATATACCATATATATCATATATATCATATATATCCCATATATATCATATATATCATATATATCTGGTATATATATATCCTATATATATCTGGTGTATATATATATCCTATATATATCTGGTGTATATATCCTATATATAGCTGGTATATATATATCCTATATATAGCTGGTATATATATATCCTATATAGAGCTGGTATATATATATCCTATATAGAGCTGGTATATATATATCCTATATAGAGCTGGTATATATATATCCTATATAGAGCTGGTATATATATATCCTATATAGAGCTGGTATATATATATCCTATATAGAGCTGGTATATATATCCTATATAGAGCTGGTATATATATATCCTATATAGAGCTGGTATATATATATCCTATATATATCTGGTATATATATATCCTATATATATCTGGTATATATATATCATATATATATCTGGTATATATATATCATATATATATCTGGTATATATATATCATATATATATCTGGTATATATATATCATATATATATCTGGTATATATATATTAGAATACTATGCAGCCATAAAAATGAATAAAATCATGTCCTCTGCAGCAACATGGATGGAGCTGGAGGCCATAAGTGAAATAACTCAGAAACAGAAATCAAATTATGCATGTTTTCACTTGTAAGTGGGAACTAAACAATAGGAACACATGGACATAAAGATGAAAATAACACTGAGGACTCCAAAAAAGGGGAGAATGGGAGGAGGATGAGGGCTCAAAAATTACCTATTGGGTACAATATTCACTATTGCTGGTTGGTTCATTAGAAACCCAAACATTACCACTACATAATATATCCATGTGACAAACTAGAACATGTACTCCCAAATGTAAAATTTAAAGAAATATGTAATGTATCTGTCTGTTCACTTGTTTTTAAAGCATGTATGGATTTAACAGCTCTGAATATTAGCTTTCTGTGTTCTCATCAGTGAGCACAGGAAGATAGAGTCTACTATCCCATACCTAACGAAAGGCTAGGTGGGAAGGTGATATTTAGGGAGGTGAGTTTGAAGGGTGTTTGTTTTAGTTACATTCTAGTCACTTTAACTTGTATTCTTGGAAAAAGCTGGAATCATTGGCTTGTATTATCTTGGCCCTTCCCATAACTGCCTTGACTGAGTTATGTTTTAGCATCATGGCCTCCACTATAACAAAACAATTGATAAGAAGCAGCCTTATAAAGCTGATTTTGCAATTACTTCAGCAATTTTAAAAGGACATTATCTACTCCCTTCATCACTCAGCAAGACATTTTTAAACAACTCATAGCAAAACTTGGCTTTTCCAAAGGAGCTGATGCATTCTCTTTTTTCTGATAATGAGAATTGTGCAACAGACTATATTTCCTTTTATCATCTCTATTTCATCATTCTCTGGTCTTGACTGTTAAAACTGTGATAATGTCTCTGAGATAATGTAAATTCAGATGGAATTCAACTGGCAATTGGCTCCCATTCTTTTCCTGGGTGCAATTCTCAAATGAAGACCAGCTAAAGGTATTATCTTCTGCATGGTGAAGAGTCAGGAAGTGACTACTTTGTGATAATTTGGGGCTTTCTCAACTCAGTGTATGCTACATATTTTGTAATAATTGGTCTATTTCTTACATAGCTCATAAATGAAAACAAATAAAGCACACATTAACTGGAAGACTAATTGAGCAGTTTTTTTTTAAACTTTGCAATAATGTAGCCATGGATTTTATGTGATTAAACTTTGTGGACTTCACGTATAGTAAGGATTTTACTATATCTTCCTTTATTACTGAATCTCTAATTTTATATTGTTAATAAAAACTATACACTATTGACAATGAGCAGCATACATTTTATGCTGTGCATATTATAAACTAAGTGTTCTTATTGTAAGACACCCCAAAACCCTCATAGAACAAGGCAAGGTATAAATATAAATATACATAAATATAAAAATAATGTAAAATAAAAAGACTCAGTTGAATGTACTTTGGGATGTGTCTATTCTAAATATAACATATTCAGTATCCATATTATATTTCCATAAAGGAATTTTCTTCCCTTTTACAATTTATTTGAAGACATACTAAATAGCATTACTATACTTGTGCTGGGTTGAATAATGTCCCCCCAAATTCATATGCATTTGGAACCTCAGAATGTGAACTTATTTGGAAATAGGGTCTTTGCAGATATAATTCATTAAGATGAGGTCATATTAGGTTAGAGTGGGCCCTAAATCCAATGACTGGTATCCTTATAAGAAGGCTATATAAAGACACAGATGGGGGTTCTGGGCAAGATGGCTGAATATGAACAGGTCTGGTCTGCAGCTCCCAGCGAGACCAATGCAGAAGTTGGGTGACTTCTGCATTTCCAACTGAGGTACCCGGTTCATCTCACTGGGACTGGTTAGACAGTGAGTGCAGCCCACGGTGGGTGAGCTGAAGCAGAGTGGGGTGTCGCCTCACCCGGGAAGCACAAGGGGTTGAGGAACTCCCTCCCCTATCCAAGGGAAGCAGTGACGGACTGTGCCATGAGGGATGGTGCTATTCGGTCCAGATACTACATTTTCCCCATGGTTTTTACAACCCACAGACCAGGAGATTCCCTCAGGTGCCTATACCACCAGGGTCCTGGGTTTCATGCACAAAACTGGGTGGCCACACAAGCAGACACTGAGCTAGCTGCAGGAGTTTTCTTTTGTACCTGGGTGGCACCTGGAACACCAGTGCCACTTTCCATTCACTGCCCTGGAAAGGGGGCTGAAGCCAGGGAGCCAAGTGGTCTTTCTCAGCAGGTCCCAACCCCATGGAGCCCAGCAAGCTAAGATCCACTGGCTGGAAATTCTCACTACCAGCACAGCAGTCTGAAGTCAACCTGGGACACTTAGGCTTGATGGGGGCAGGGGCATCCACTCTCACTGATGCCTGAGTAGGCGGTTTTCTCCTCACAGTGTAAATAAAGCCGCTGGGAAGTTTGGACTGGGCAGAGCCCACTGCAGTGTGGCAAAGCTGCTGTAGCCAGACTGCCTCTCTAGATTCCTCCTCTCTGGGCATCTCTGAAAGAAAGGCAGCAGTCCCAGTCAGGGCCTTATAGATAAAACTCCCATCTCCCTGGGACGGAGCACCTGGGGGAAGGGGCAGCTATGTGTGTAGTTTCAGAAGATGTAAATGTTCCTGCCTGAAAGCTCTGAAGAGAGCAGTGGCTCTCCCAGCACAGGGCTCGAGCTCTGCTAAGGGACAGACTGCCTCCTCAAGTGGGTCCCTGACCCTCGTGCCTCCTGACTGGGAGACACCTCCCAGCAAGGGTCAACAGACACCTCATACAGGAGAGCTCTGGCTGGCACCTGGTGGGTGCCCCTCTGGAATGAAGCTTCCAGAGGAAGAAGCAGGCAGCAGTCTTTGCTGTTTTGCAGCTTCTGCTGGTGATACAGAGGCAAACAGGGTCTGGGGTGGACCTCCAGCAAACTCCAGCCGACCTGCAGAAGAGGGTCCTGGCTGTTAAAAGGGAAACTAACAAACAGAAAGCAATAATATCAACATCAATAAAAAAGACACCCAAGCAAAAACCCCATCCAAATGTCCTCAGCATCAAAGATCAGAGGTAGATAAATCCACGAAGATGAGGAAACACCAGCACAAAAATGCTGAAAATTCCAAAAACCAGAATGCCTCTTCTCCTCCAAAGGATCACAACTCCTTGCCAGCAAGGGAACAAAACTGGACAGAGAATGAGTTTGACGAATTGACTGAAGGAGGCTTCAGAAGGTGGGTAATAACAAACTCCTCCGAGATAGAGGAGCATGTTCTAACCCAATGCAAGGAAGCTAAGAACTTTGATAGGAGGTTACAGGAACTGCTAACTAGAATAACCAGTTTAGAGAAGAACATAAATGACCCGATGGGGCTGAAAACACAGCATGAGAACTTCGTGAAGCATACACAAGTATCAATAGCCAAATTGATAAAGCAGAAGAAAGCATAACAGAGATTGAAGATCAACTTAATGAAATAAAGCATGAAGACAAGATTAGAGAAAAAAGACTGAAAAGGAACCAACAATGCCTCCAAGAAATATAGGACTATGTGAAAAGATCAAATCTACAATTGATTGATGTACCTGAAACTGACAGGGAGAAGGGAACCAAGTTGGAAAACACTTCAGGATATTATCCAGGAGAACTTCCCCAACCTAGCAAGACAGGCCAACATTCAAATTCAGGATATACAGACAACACCATTAAGATACTCCTCAAGAAGAGCAACCCCAAGACACATACTCATCAGATTCACCAAAGTTGAAATGAAGGAAAAAACATTAAGAGCAGCCAGAGAGAAAGGTCGGGTTACCTACAAAGGGAAGCCCATCAGACTAACAGCGGATCTCTTGGCAGAAACTTTACAAGCCAGAAGACAGTAGGGGGCCAATATACAACATTCTTAAAAAAATAATTTTCAACCCAGAATTTCATATCCAGCCAAACTAAGCTTCAAAAGCAAAGGAGAAATAAAATCCTTTACAGGCAAGCAAATGCTGAGGGATTTTATTACTGCCAGGCCCACCTTACAAGAGCTCCTGAAGGAAGCACTAAATATTGAAAGGAAAAATTGGTACCAGCCACTGCTAAAAAACATATGAAAATATAAAGACTAATGACACTATGAAGAAACTGCATCAGCTAACGTGCAAAATAGCCAGCTAGCATCATGTTGACAAAATCAAATTCACACATAACAACATTAACCTTAAATGTAAATGGGCTAAATGCTCCAATTAAAAGACACAGTCTGGAAAATCGGCTACAGTCAAGACCCATCAGTGTGTTGTATTCTGGAGACCCATCTCACATGCAAAGACAAACATAGGCTCAAAACAAAGGGATGGAAGAATATTTACCAAGCAAATGGAAAGCAAAAAAAAGCAGGAGTTGCAATCCTAGTCTCTGATAAAACAGACTTTAAACCAACAAAGATTTAAAAAAAACAAAGAAGGGCATTATATAATGGTAAAGGAATCAATGCAACAAGAAGAGCTAACTACCCTAAATATATATTCACCCAATACAGGAGCACCCAGTGAAGGGGTGGGTTGCCCCTCCACACCTGTGGGTGTTTCTCGTTAGGTGGAACGGGAAACTTGGAAAAGAAAAAGACACAGAGACAAAATATAGAGAAAGAAATAAGGGGGCCCAGGGGACCAGTGTTCAGCATATGGAAGATCCCACCAGTCTCTGAGTTCCCTTAGTATTTATTGATCATTCTTGGGTGTTTCTTGGAGAGGGGGATGTGTCAGGGTCATAGGATAATATGGAGAGAAGGTCAGCAGATAAACATGTGAACAAAGGTCTCTGCATCGTAGACAAGGTAAAGAATTAAGTGCTGTGCTTTAGATATGCATACACATAAACATCTCAATGCCTTACAGAGTAGTATTGTTGCCCGCATGTCCCACCTCCAGCCCTAAGGCAGTTTTCCCCTATCTCAGTAGATGGAACATACAATTGGGTTTTATACCGAGACATTCCATTGCCCAGGGATGGGCAGGAGACAGATGCCTTCCTCTTGTCTCAACTGCAAAGAGGCATTCCTTCCTCTTATACTAGTCCTCCTCAGCACAGACCCTTTATGGTTGTTGGGCTGGGGGACGGTCAGGTCTTTCCCTTCCCACGAGGCCATATTTCAGACTATCACATGGGGAGAAACCTTGGACAATACCTGGCTTTCCTAGGCAGAGGTCCCTGTGGCTTTCCGTAGTGTTTGTGTCCCTGGGTACTTGAGATTAGGGAGTGGTGATGACTCTTAACGAGCATGCTGCCTTCAAGCATCTGTTTTAACAAAGCACATCTTGCACAGCCCTTAATCCATTTAACCCTGAGTTGACACAGCACATGTTTCAGAGAGCACGGGGTTGGGGGTAAGGCTATAGATTAACAGCATCTCAAGGCAGAAGAATTTTTCTTAGTAGAGAACAAAATGGAGTCTCCTATGTCTACTTCGTTCTACACAGACACAGTAACAATCTGATCTCTCTTTCTTTTCCCCACAACCCAGATTCATAAAGCAAGTTCTTAGAGACCTACAAAGAGACTTAGACTCCCACACAATAATAGTGGGAGACTTTAACATCCCACTGTCAATATTAGACAGATCAATGAAACAGAAAATTAACAAGGATATTCAGGACTTCAACTCAGCTCTGGACCAAGCAGAGCTAATAGACATCTACAGAACTCTCCACCCAAAATCAACAGAATATACATTCTTCTCAGCACCACATAGCATTTATTCCAAAAGTGACCACATAATTGGAAGTAAAACACTCCTCAGCAAATGTAAACGAACAGAAATCATAACAAACAGTCTCTCAGACCACAGTGCAATCAAATTAGAAATCGGGATTAAGAAACTCACTCAAAACCACACAACTACATGGAAACTGAACAACCTGCTCCTGAATGACTACTGGGTAAATAACTAAATTAAGGCAGAAATAAATAAGTTCCTTGAAACCAATGAGAACAAAGACACAATGTACCAGAATCTCTGGGACACAGCTAAAGCAGTGTTTAGAGGTAAATTTATAGAACAAAATACCCACAAGAGAAAGTAGGAAAGATCCAAAATCAACACCCTAACATCACAATTAAAAGAACTAGAGAAGCAAGAGTAAACAAATTCAAAAGCTAGCAAAAGACAAGAAATAACTAACATCAGAGCAGAACTGAAGGAGATAGAGACACGAAAAACCCTTCAAAAAATCAATGAATCCAGCAGCTGGCTTTTTGAAAAGATTAACGAACTAGATAGAAAAAATATAAGACAGAAGAATTAAATAGACACAATAAAAAATGATAAAGGGGACATCACCACTCATCCCACAGAAATACAAACTACCATCAGAGAATACTATAAACACCTCTGTGCAAATAAACTAGAAAATCTAGAAGAAATGGTTAAATTCCTGGACACATACACCCTACGAAGACTAAACTAGGAAGAAGTAGAATCCCTGAATAGACCAATAACAAGTTCTGAAATTGATGCAGTAATTAATAGCCTACCAACCAAAAAAAAGGCCAGGACGAGACAGATTCACAGCCAAATTCTACCAGAGGTACAAAGAGCTGATACCATTCCTTCTGAAAGTATCCCAAACAACAGAAAAAGATGGACTCCTCCCTAACTCATTTTTATGAGGCCAGCATCATCCTGATGCCAAAACCTGGCAGAGACACAACAAAAAAAGAAAATTTCAAGCCAATATCCCTGATGAACATTGATGTGAAAATCCTCAGTAAAATACTAGCAAACCGCATCCAGCAGCACATCAAAAACTTATCCACCACGATCAAGTCAGCTTCATCAGCTTCATCACTGGGATGCAAGGCTGGTTCAACATACACAAATCAATAAACATAATCCATCACATAAACAGAACCAATGACAGAAACCACATGATTATCTCAATAGATGCAGAAAAGGCCTTCAATAAAATTCAAAACCCCCTATGCTAAAAGCACTTGATAAACTAGGTATTTGTGGAACATACCTCAAAATAATAAGAACTATTTATGACAAACCCACAGCCAATATCATATTGAATGGGCAAAAACTGGAAGCATTCCCTTTGAAAACCAGCACAAGACAAGGACGCTCTATCTCACCACTCCTATTCAACATAGTATTGGAAGTTCTGGCCAGGGCAATCAGGCAAGAGAAAGAAATAAAGTGTATTTAAATAGGAAGATAGGAAGTCAAATTGTCTCTGCTTACAGATGACATGATTGCATATTTAGAAAACCCCAATGTCTCAGCCCAAAATCTTTTAAAGCTGATAAGCAAGTTCAGCAAAGTCTCAGGATAGAAAATCAATGTGCAAAAATCACAAGCATGCCTATACACCAATAATAGAGAGCCAAATCACGAGTGAACTCCCATTCACAATTGCTACCAAGAGAATAAAATACCTTGGAATCCAACTTACAAGGGATGTGAAGGACCTCTTTAAGGAGAACTACAAACCACTGCTCAAGAAAATAAGAGAGGACATAAACAAATGGAAAAACATTCCATGCTCATGGATAGGAAGAATCAATATAGTGAAAATGGCCATACTTCCCAAGGTAATATATAGATTCAATGCTGTTCCTATCAAGCTAGATTCAATGCTGTTCCCATCAAGCTATCATTGACTTTCTTCACAGAATTAGAAAAAACTACTTCGAATTTCACATGGAACCAAAAAGGAGCCCATATAGCCAAGAGAAACCTAAGTCAGAAAAACAAAGCTGGAAGCATCATAGTATCTGACTTCAAACTATGCCACATTCTACTGGGTACCAAAACAGATGTATAGACCAATGGAACAGAACAGAGGCCTCAGAAATAACACCATACATTTGCAACCATTTGATCTTTGACAAAACTGACAAAAACAAGCAATGGACAAAGGATTCCCTATTTAATAAATGGTGTTGGGAAAACTGGCTAGCCATATGAAGAAAACTGAAACTGGACCCCTTCCTTACACCTTATACAAAAATTAACTCGAGATGGATTAAGACTTAAACATAAGGCCTAAAACCATGAAAACTCTAGAAGAAAACCTAGGCAATACCATTCAGTATATAGGCACTGGCAAAGACTTCATGACTAAAACACCAAAGGCAATTGCAACAAAAGCCAAAATTGACAAATGGGATTAGTTAAACTAAAGAGCTTCTGCACAGCAAAAGAAATTATCATCAAAGTGAACAGGCAACCTACAGAATGGGAGAAAATTTTTGCAATCTACCCATCTGACAAAGGGCTAATATCCAGAATCTACAAAGAACTTTAACATATTTGCAAGAAAAAGACAAACTATCCCATCAAAAAGTGGGTGAAGAATACGAACAGACACTTCTCAAAAGAAGACATTCATGTGGCCAACAAATATATGAAAAAAATGTCATCATCCCTGGTCATTAGAGAAATGCAAATCAAAACCACAATGAGATACCATCTCATGCCAGTTAGAATGGTGATCATTAAAAAGTGAGGAAACAACAGATGGTGGAGAGGATGTGAAGAATAGAAACGCTTTTACACTGTTGGTGGGAGTATCAACTAGTTCAACCATTGTGGAAGACAGTGTGGCGATTCCTCTAGGATCTAGAACCAGAAATACCATTAGACTCAGCAATCCCATTACTGGGTATATACCCAAAGGATTTTAAATCATTCTATTATAAAGACACATGTACATGTATGTTTATTGCAACACTATTTACAATAGCAAAGACTTGGAACCAACCCAAATGCCCATCAATGACAGACTGGATAAAGAAAATGTGGCACATATACACCATGGAATACTATGCAGCCATAAAAAAGTTCTTTGCAGGGACATGGATGAAGCTGGAAACTATCATTCTCAGCAAACTAACATAGGAACAGAAAACCAAACACCACATGTTCTCACTCATAAGTGGGAGTTGAACAATGAGAACACACGAACACAGGGAGGGGAACATTACACACTGGGGCCTTTTGGCGGGTAGGGGCAAGGGGAGGAATAGCATTAGGAGAACTACCTAATGCATGCAGGGCTTAAAACTTAGATGATGGGTTGATAAGTGCAGCAAACCACCATGGCACATGTATACCTATGTAACAAACCTGCACGTTCTGCACATGTATCCCAGAGCTTAAAGTATATATAAAAAAAGTCACAGACACCCACAGAGAATGCCATGTATGGTGGAGGCAGAGACTAGAGTGGTGCAGCCAGAAGCCAAGGAATGCCAAGGATTGCTGGCAATCAGGAATGAAGCAGGGAACAGATTCTCCCTTAGAACCTCTGGAAGGAACCAACCTTGCCAACACTTTGATTTTGGTCTTCTGGCCTCCTGAACTGTGAGAAACTAAATTTTTATTGTTTTAAGCCACCCAGTTTCTAGTAATTTGTTAAGTCAGTCCTAGGAAACTAAAACAGCACTCTAGCCTAACTCAAAGTTTCAAAAATCTCTTCCTCTGAACATACATAAATTGAGCACCTAGTGTGTGCTCCACAAATAACTGCTCATTTATGCCCTTGAAAAGGGAGAGTTAATTGTCCATAATAACATAAATAAGAAGCACTTTCACAATAATTGTAAACAAAATATATTCGGATGAAGAAAAGCCACTTTCTCTTTTTGTAGGAAATGCATTATAATAACATAAATAAGAGGCACTTTCACAATAATTTTAAACAAAATATATTCTGATGAGGAAACACCACTTTGCTGTAGTTGCATTTTAAAGAGTTTTATCATGTGAATATTATATATGACATATTACTGTCAAAAGAACTGACGTAAATCAGGGTTATTAAATTTCATGCTTCAAAAAGATGCTACCCACAGATATAAAGATTTTATCATTCTTTTGTCTTTTGCTGTTGCCATGCACCTACCACATTGGCTTTCATTAACTTGACCCTTAACATGAAAGATACCAATAAGACAACCTTTATTTGTAACACTTATGAGAAAAAACTGGTGCAATGTATTTCCTCGGTCGATGAGCTTTCCTGATATTGTAACACGGAGGAAAAAAATGTAATAAAGAATAATAAATAAAACAGGAATAAGTGAAAATTGCTAATTTTTTCCCCTTGCTTTTCCCAA
Source organism: Homo sapiens (assembly GCF_000001405.40). NCBI lineage: Eukaryota > Metazoa > Chordata > Mammalia > Primates > Hominidae > Homo > Homo sapiens. Next base: position 524,433 of record NW_017852928.1, on the reverse strand, counting down.
ATTATGACTGCACTTTATTTATAATTTCCTTATGTACTTTTATATTCATAGCTAAATATGTCATTGAGTTTGTGGAAAAATATTAATTGAATGAATTGTTTATAGAAAAATACAACGTGGTCTAAAGGCATTCTCAAGCTGTCATTTTGGTGTTCTATCACCCTCTACTGCTCAGTGAGCCAAATTACATTTAGCCTTTTTCCCCACCAAAACTGGTATCTTTTCCAAGGCTAAAAAAATATTTTTTATCCATTTGCTAAATTTATAAAATCTGTTCATAAATAAAAAATCACACTGAAGATAAACAGAGAGAAAGTTATCTGTTTATGTCTCTGTTGGCTCCTCAATGGAAGTTAGAGACTATTTCATGTTCATATCCCTAGCAGACAACATACTGTGTAGCACTGTTTATATACTCCATAAATACTGGCTAAATGAAATGTTGAGGCAATTTGCACAATTATTGCTGTTTTCATTTATCATTTTTACAAAGTCTTTTATTTCATAAATATCATTACTATGTGGATTTATAAGTTAGTAAAACAGATATTTCTAATCTCTTGATTTCATATAAACGCGAAAGTTATTTTGACTTCAATATAATTAACAGTTTCAAACCCTATATTGATAGTCATTTTTACTATGGTTTAACATGGGCATTTTTGTGGTGATCCGTTATTCTGAATAGTTGTACATTATTCATTGGAGCTTTTTGTTGGTTATATTTACAATCAGCTGGGGGTGGTGGAGAAAACCTGAAATACCAGTGGCTTAAGGTCCGATCCTAGTTTATTTCTGTCACACATAAACCTATGTAATCCAGGATGACATGACGTTTCCATAGCAATCAGGATCCTGGCTCCCTCTGTTGTTCAGCTCCATAATGCCTAAATTCTGTACACTAAGAAGAATAGATTGGCGCAGAGCCTCTGGACTGTAGACTAGAATAACTGCATGTCATAGCAGAGTGGAGGCTGGTATACTCTGACAAAGGGTTCTGAAATAGTGGTCCACTAAAGCTACATAAGGTCAGTGTGCTCAGTTGTGAGCTACTTGATGCACTGCAAGTTTCACAAATTGATATCCTAAAAAATCATGATTGTAAATTGGTACTCATAGTGCCCAGTTTCTCTGGTAACATCATCTCCCTGTCTCCATAAAAATGATGCTGTACCTTTTTCAAATCTCTTCAAACTTCTGTCCTCACATCCTGTCTTTCTGATCCTCTCTCCCTCACATCCTTACATCCTCACTTTTACCACAGTGCTTCATTCTTCACTGAAGACATGGAAGCCATTTTATGGGCCTCCTTCATCTTTCCGCTATCATATCCGCAAATTCTTAACCGAATTTGTACCCGTTTTTCAGCTGCATTGGAAGAAGTGTGCCTATAGCTCCAGTCAGCCACAGAGGTGAAGTTGCAGGGATTTACTCAAGGTGATGGTTTTGCCAAATGAATAAGGGAAATAAAAGAGGCATCAGGAGTAAAGGGATATGTAAGGTATTGGTTAAGTTGATGGATCATGGAATCTAAGTGGGACTAAGGAAAGAAATGAGAGCCCAATGAGGTGAGGACTGTGATAATATAGAAACATGAATAAGTTATAAGTCCTATGGGGTCCCTTTTCATATTCTTTGCTTATTCATTACATTATTTGTCTTTTTCTTAGTGATTGATAGGATTTCTTATGTACTCTGAATACTATCTTTTGTTAGTTGTAAGGTTTGTATTTTTGTTCTGTGGCTTTTATTTTTCATCTTTTTAATGATGTGTTTTGATGCACAGGTGTTTTCAATGTTACCAAATTTGTATTTTATGATTTATGATTTTTTCCCCAAAGACCAGATTACAAGCTTCAAGATTTATTTTTTTAAATAATAACATCTCTTATTTGTATAGAATTATGAATTATAAACTATTGTTTTGCTTAATCCTTTTAATTACCATGTGAGACAGACAGGCTAGAGGATATTAGCTCCCATCTTACAGACAAAGGGTGGAAACACTGTACCCATATTTAGTATAAGAGAGAGCTGGGATGTAAGCCCTGGGCTTCCATACTCACAACTGCTTTTTTCCCATGACTTTGTGGTACCTCATTTTAAAGTAATCTGATTTCACAATGTTTCATTACAGTGTAAGAGTAACATCTATATCATATCTTCCTGGCAGGTTACCTCTGGAGCTAACCAACCTAATTAATTACCTCATAGGCTGAAACATTTTAAGGCACTGTTATACCTCTCACTCAATTTCTCAGCCATGTATGAGGGCCCCATGAACCAAAATTGCAGCAAAACTGACCTCAAAGGAGCAGGGAATACAAGGTCAAGTATGTTTTCAAGTGTAACCTAGGCCTGGCACATCCTCGCCAATTGCTCAGATGGCAAGTGGAGGCAACCAAGTGAAGGGAGTAGTGCGAAGGCCCATTTAGGGGTGGACACTGATGAAAAACACTACAGTGTCAGACCCACTGTTTTCAGGATTAAAATCCCAAGAAGCCCAGTTGCTGGTCTACTATCTACTACTATATTATTACCAGCAGGAGACTAGAGTCTCCTGGACTAGACTACTGGAGACTAGAATATACAAGGAAATGCTAATTAACCTGCCTGCCTGGGGCCCAAAAAATCAAACAGCACTAATTTTATCCACACCAAACTGAGAAAATGGTTCATTCCTTTTTTATCTGGATTTTAAGGAGAGTGCTGATCATCAGAGAAACCAGGAAATTCTTTCCTGAAGCCCAAGAGAAGATATGATGGGCATTTCCCAGAGTTATAGATGGCGCAGGGGCAACACAGTCTGCCACAGTGAAGGGAAAAAAGCTATCTTGGTGAGCTTTGGTCCTCCACAGGACATGGAACCAGAGATGAGCAAGATCAGGGCCTGGATGACCAATCCTGATAAGAGCAGGACTTCCTCACATAAGGTGCATAGGTCCCTGAGGAGAAGGGTCTAAACATCCTAAAACTGCAAGCAAAATTTTGAGTACATACATGTTTTTCTGGTGAAAGGGTCCTTCATTCTCAAATTCTGAGCTTTTAGAAAAAAGGACTAAGCTAGTTGCAGACTATGATACAAAAGCCAGCAGATATACCTAAAGTCAGCCAAGTCTGAGCGCTCTCAAAGTCATCAGTGAAAAGTTGGAACATAGACTCACAAGAGACAACCCACCACCTGTTTTTGTGCCCGTCTTCCTAATTGTATTTCAAGTCTTTTCAGAACAAGGCCCTAGGAACTCTCAGATTCAATTATGTCCTTGGGCTTGGTCCACTGCTACAGGAGTCTTAGGGGGACTCGTGCAAATGTGACAAAGCAGGACTCCTTTCATGACACGTGATTATTTCAGAGGAGGCAGCAGCCAATGTAGAAAACACTGGAATGTTTCCTTGGAGCTGGACTGTGATGAGAGGTGCCTGCCATGTACATAACTTGCTGTATTTTCATTGACTCTTCTCTTCCAGTTTTTGAAGATAAAGCAGGAGATACTCTTCCCTCAAGATACAATTCCAATTGTTATTTTTGATAACAGTTCAAAAAAACAGAAACACATGCTTCCAATGCACCATGCATTCAGGTATTCTGGGTCTAGTTCAGCTGGTGGTTGAGCTGATTGCTGCATTCACTCTGACAGCCAGGCGAGCCCATCTCATGGAAGAACCTCACTCTATTCTTGATAGCGTGATGGGCCACCAAGAGCTGGAAAGGGTGCAGGAACCATGAGATCTGGAAATACTTCCTTGGGAAGGCAACATCATGAATGAGGTCTTCTAAGCAAATGACAGCAAACTTCCTCAGGTGCTCCTCACTGTGTTGTCTGTTGGAGAGATGGTCTTATTCTTGACCTTGGCTTGTCCGTGTTTCAAGATGAGTTCCCAGATGGGCTTCAGATTTAGAAATCCCCAGGTCATATAAGATTCCAATATGTACAGCAGTTTTAGGCTCTGGGGGTGGCTTTTACAAAGACACTACTAAAAATTTTCTTTAGGTGAACCATTTTCTTCTTGCAGTGGTTCTCTGCACCAGTAAACTCATGCTATTAATTTTTAGGATGTGTACAACAAAGGCCAAGGAATGTTTATCTGGCAATTCCAAGGCATGAGATTTCACTTCTAGTCATCTGAGAGGCACCTTGTTGTGTTTCTGCCACCGGAAATCATGTAGGAACGATTCCAGTTGCTTACACCTGAGGCCATTTCTCCCTTTTCTTTTTTTTTTTTTTTTTGCTAAAAGTGCATTCTTTGCCTGAGTGGCTCTGAGGACAATAATGCACTAAATAATATTTGCTTGTGTATCTTTTCAAACTTTCCAGTTGATCCTTATTTTCTTTATTCCTTTAAAGGAGTGATGGATACTTCAGAAATTTATCGATGCTCTCAAGTTAACAGGTATAAATATTCCTAAAAAAGAGGCAGAGAAGATTCTTGAAAGGTCAGCTCTCATATATGTATGTATATATTAAACTTAATTTTTATTATTATTAATTTTATTAGCTCTAAACCCTTTTTAATGATAAAAGTGATAACTATGGAAATGTTAGAAAAATATGAATAATGGCTTTTCATTATTGAACATCTGTCTGCTAGCACTCTTCTAAGAACATTACATACATTATCTCATTTAATCCTCACAAGACTTTAGAGACCAAGTCTATTATTTTTCACAGAAGAGGAAATTGTTGAGAAGTGAGGTTAAGTAACTTCCCCAATGTCACCATAATCCAATCACCCAAATGTTAACCTGGTATCATTTTAGTGTATAGATTTATTGCTTTTTATAAGATTATGTCATTTTATATTTATCAAGTTTGATCCTTTTTGCTGGGCATGTACTAGCTAACGAGGATGCAGTGGTAGCCTGGCCCTTGTGCCTGTCCTTACAGAGCTGACAGTCCACTGTGTGTGTGTGTGTGTGTGTGTGTGTGTGTACACGCACATGTGCTAACAGTGAACAGACAGTTGCAATGTGGCAAGGATTATGACAGGAACATATAGAAGAACAACAAAGAAAAGTATCTTATCAGGAGAGTGCTGAATTTTATTAAACTGTATAATGTGTCATTTGACCTATTTATATAATGAATTATAGTAATAGATTTTGTCATGTTAAACATTCCTGAAATAAGGCTAACTTATTATGAACTATTTTATACAGAACAATAAAGAGAATAATATAACCAAAAACCATACCTACCACTGTGTTTGTCATATTTAACATTTTACATATTTGATTCAGATTTTTAAAAACAAAATTACAGGCAGCAAACATTTTCAATGTATTATTCTCTAAACCCATTTCCTCCATTCCTGCCAGAAGTAACTACTATTCTGAACTTATTATTCTCATATAGACTTTTATATTTGCATACATTTTACTATACATATACTGTTAAAATATAGGATATTGTTTCTTATGTCTTAAGCCTTTAAATGGTGACATACAGGATTTTTTTATGACTATTTTCTAATCCTTCAATTTTTGGAGATTTATTTATGTCAATGCATATAGCTCTAGTTCAATTATTTTAACCACTGTATGGTTCCATTTAATAAATATAACTCAGTTTACTTATGAATTCTGATGGTGGTTATTTAGGTTAAAAATTTCTTTTGTTGCTAATATAATATAAAGCTGCAATGGATATTCTTGTGTGCATCTCCTTGTGTATTACTTGCGGTGGAATTGTTTGGTCATAGGCTTTACAGATATTTAACTTTAATTAAATATTCCAAATTGCTCTCCAAAGTAGTTGTACCACCTTAGATTCCTACCAGAAATGTATTTCCATTCCAACACTTGATACCGTAGTATTCTAATATTTTAATATTTTCCAAACCTATGGGTCAGAAATATTATCTCATTATTTTTAATGTAACTAAATGTAATTAATTATATTCCTTATTACTAGTAAAACTATCTCTTCATATATTTGCTGGTCATTTGGATTTTTTTTGTGAATTACCTGTTTATTCCTTTTGTCAATTTTTCAGCGAGATTGGTTGTCTTTTTCTTAATGGCTTGTAGGTGTTCTTTCTAAATTCTGGATATTAATCCTATGTTGGCATTATGCAATATGAATATCTTTTCCCAGCTTGTTGCTTATTTAAAACAAATTTTTGGTGTTTTTTTGTTGTGCAGACATTTTAAATTTTAATGCAGTTATATTTGTCTCTTTTTCTTTTATGGTTGTGCTTTTGACATATTGAGAAATTCTTCCTTACCCTGGGGCATGAAGATATTCATCAATATCTTATTTAAATATTTAGATATTTCATATTTAGTTCTTTAATTCACCTGTAATTGATGTTTGTGTATGGTGTGAAATAGGGATTCAATTTCTTTTTTTTTCTGTATAGTCAATTGTCCTATCACCATTTATTGGTTAGTCCCATCCTTTTCCTACAGATTTGAAATGCTTACCTCTAGTCATATATTAAATTTCCATCTGTGTATGGGTGTGTTTCTGGTTTCCTTTTCCTGTTATATTAGTTGTTGTCTACTGTGTATCAATACCGCATGTCTTAATTACTATCACTGTATAATACATCTCGACATCTGGACTTACATTCATCTCCAATAGTGTCAATGCTATTTTTGACCCTTTCCTCTTCTATATGAATTTTAGAATCAGATTGTTTTGTTATATACATGTGCATACACATGCACATATATATATATATCATTTTTGGAATTTTGATTGCAATTTATTGAATTAATAGCTTAATATTGGGGAGAATTGATGTATTTATGATGTTTCATCCTCTATTTCTTGAACATTTTATGTGTCTTCATTTTTTAGATCCTTCCTTTTTTCAGCAGAAAAGAGCAGCAATAACATTATTGAAAAATATCCATTGGATCTGGCGTTTGGGAGATTTCCGGGGATGTCAGTGAAAGGAGTTTGAGTAGTGTGGTAAAGGGTTAAGTCAGGTTGCATAAGGCTGTTGAGTGGGTGAGGGTGAGGATGTGGGGACTGTGGTTTAAGAGAAATGGTTAATGTGGGGATGTGGTTTAAGAGAAATTTAAATGAGAAGGAGAGGACAAGTCTTTTTAAATTTTATTTTTATTATCTTTTGGTGGATAGGAGAGATCTGAGAAGTAGTCACCAGAGAAGGACATGTTGGATCTGTTATAGAGACAGGAGATGACTGATTGGGAGAAAAGGGTTCCAACAACTCAAGACAGGGAGTCCTTGAATAAGACTCAATATTTCAACCTCTGAGTGTAGAGCACAAGAGGTGGTGATGAAAAGTGGATTTATTTATTTACTAACAAATATTTATTGAGTGTCTGTGATATGCCTGTCATTCATCTAGGTGCTAAGGATGCAGTAGTGAAGGAAATAGGCCAAAATCCTTGCTCTCATAGAGCTCACCATAAACAAGAGGAGAAAAACAATAAACTAGATAAATAATTAAGCTATGTTAGATAATGAAAAGTGCTAAGGGGAAATGAAGCAGAGGAGGGAGACTCGTGTGTGTGTGTGTGTGTGTGTGTGTGTGTGTGTGTGTGTGTTGGGGAAATGCAATTTAACTGTGGTGAGTAGGGAATTCTTGAAAGTGACATTTGAGTAGAGATAAGGAGGAAGTAAGAGAGGGAGCTATGATGATCTTTGGGGGAAGAGCTTTCCAGGCAAAGGAAATAGCAACAGCAAAGGGTGAAGTAGGTAGTGTCTCTGACAGGGTTAGGGCATTGAGAGGAGGCCAGTGTGTGCAGAATAGAGTGAATGAGGGAGAGCGTGGTAGGAGATGAAATCTAGAGGTAATAGGAGGCCAGATCACATAAGGCTTCCAGGAAATTGTAAGAACTTTGGTTTTTACTCAGTTAAGTCATTGGGTGGTTTTAAACAGAGGTGTGACATGATCTAACTTAAGTTTTAACCATCTCATTCTGGCTGGTGTACTGCGAATAGTTTATAGCGGCAAGGGTGAAAACAGAGAGACCAATTAAGACAGTGCTGCAATAATAACAGACAAGATTTTAGGATGGCTTGCACCAGGATGGATGAGGGTGAGAAGTGAGTAGATGCCAGGTAGATTTTGAAATACTGACAAGATTTACTTCTGGATCATGTGTAGGGTGTTAAAGAAAGTGAATAGTTAAGGATACTGTCAAAGTTCTTGGTCTGAGCGTCTAGGAGGCTGTAGCTGCCTCATGTATTGAAATGAGTAAGACTGTGAGAGGAGCAGGTTTAAGAGTAAGACTGTGAGAGGAGCAGGTTTAAAATGGAGTAGATCTCAGAGTACAGTTTTGTTCTCAAGTTTCAGATGCTAATGAGACATCCAAGTAGAGATATCAAGTAGGTATCTTGAAATGAGTCTGGAGTTCAGATTTGGGAGTTACAGGCTTATAGATGATGTTTGAAGCCATAAGAATGGCTGAGAAGACCAGGGAGGGAGTACAGTACGCTGGGTCCTGGTATGCTCTAATGTTATGTGGCAGGGGAAATGAGGGGAAACCAGGGAAGGAGAATAGGAGGAAAGAACTAGAGAGAAAGGAAGAAAACCAGGAGAATACTTTGTTCTGGAAGCCAAATAAAGAACACATTTCAGAGAGGAGACAGTTCTGTCTGTCAAATGCTGATAGACTAAGATGAGGACAGAGAATGGACCACTGGATTTAGCGCCATGGAGGCCACTGGTAGAGTAATGGTGGTGAGAGCCTGAGAGTGGGCTCAAGAGAGAATGACAAGGAGAAGGTGGACATGCAAGGGAGACAAGTCTTTAAGGGGTGTTGCTGCAAAGGCAAAGAGAGATAAAGGCCACAGTGGGGAAAGCGGGGTCAAGAGAGGCAATGGCTCACACCTGTAATCCCAGCAGTTTGGGAGACTGAGGCGGGCAGATCACAAGGTCAGGAGATCGAGACCATCGTGGCTAACATGGTGAAACCCCGTCTCTACTAAAAATAAAAAAATTAGCTGGGTGTGGTGGCGGGCGCCTGTAGTCCCAGCTACTCGGGAGGCTGAGGCAGAAGAATGGCATGAACCTGGGAGGCGGAGGTTGCAGTGAGCTGAGATCACGCCACTGCACTCCAGCCTGGGAAACAGAGCGAGATTCTGTCTCAAAAAAAAAAAAAATAAAATAAAATAAAATAAAGAATTAACAGACCCTCTTAATTTGTTTTAAATATTTTTAAGGTTTAAAAAGTGTTTAAAGTTTGTAATTCCTAGTAGAAAGCATTATCTGCATGAATACCCTAATGGCAAACCGCTGTAAAATGCTTTAGTTGCATTCAGGGTAGACGGGTAGAGATTATCTTCAAAGCACCCCAGCTGTCTTGATAAGGTCAGAGGTACACTGGTTTGCATAATTGCAACATCCATTAGGTGATCTAGGTTGCTTTTCCTTTATCAAGGGCTTTATTTATCAGAAGGGCATTACGCTTGACCTCCAAATTTGGCTGACAATTTACTGATGAGATTCTTAACCTTTGGGTTGCTCTGGCATTTTGACATATTTGCTGGGTTCTGGGCCACATCCTGGAAGGCCACCATAACTTCTGAACCCTGCATGGCTGTGAGAACCTCTGGTCACTAAGAATTTTGAGTCCATGCATTCCTGCCATTCCAGACATGTCCCCTCCCATTCCAGGCATTTCTCTGAGAAAATTACCAGGCATTCTCCCAGAAAGGCCACTTGGAAAAGAGCCATACTGAGCTCTGGATCATCTTCTGGCTTCTTCCTCCCTCTGGGATCTCTCATGCTTTTCTCGAGAGCCTTCTTAACCCTTTCTATTCTTTCGTTGATATCTTGCTCTTCACGTTTTCACTCATACTTTCTACAATGTTCTATAATTTTCTAGGCCCTAGATTTGAACTTCTTTCAGCATTTTACTAGCATCTTCATCATAATCCAATTTCCAAGCAAGGGCAAGAGCATGGGCTGCTTCTTCCCAAAGACCCAGAAGTCTGTGTGTGTTTTCTCACCACTTGTAAGTCTGAGCTGAATCAGGATTTATCTCAATGGCTCTGTCACTGTCTTGACTGGCAGCATTGGGCTTCTGTAATTTGATGAAGACACTGGCTCTCTTGGCACACAGAATGGCCAAGTGAGGATTCAGCTTAATGGCATCTGTGAATAAGCCACAGTTCACCATCATTTACGGTTTCAGTGGCAACCACTTTCTTACCATTTGCTGATCCATCATCTCCTCCGTTTTCTCTGCATTTTCATCTCCCATTTCTTGAGGGGCATCAGTGTCTTGTTCAATCACACCTTCATTATCAATTTCTAGATCAGTTTTCTCATTTGATGGTTCATCTATCTTTATGTTTTCTTTCTGCCTTCCTGCTATCTGTTTTTCCTTCCTTGATATTTTCTTCTGATTTAGCTTTCTGAATAGCAGGTGGTAGTTTACCCCCCATGCTCTTCATCCATTCCTTCAGGAAGTGCATTTCTTTGGTGTGCAGAACACTCAGATCCTGCTTACACATTTTCAGGAAGGCCCCAGGCTTGCTCATTTGGTGGGGATCCATGGTCAAGAGGTCAAGAGGTGGAGGGCGAAGCTTAGGGGGCTGTGGCCCAATTGCAGGCACAGGAGCTGGCTCAGCATGACTATGCAGAAGGGCTTTCTTCAAATTCTTAACTGCATACAGGAATTTGAGAAATTCTTCACTGAGAATTCCTAAAATTCTTTTTTTTCGTTTTTAAAAATTTTTATTTTACTTTAAGTTCTGGGATACATGTGCAGAACTTGCAGGTTTGTAACAGAGGCATACATGTGCCATGGTGATCTGCTGCACCTATCAACCTGTCATCTAGGTTTTAAGCCCTGCATGCATTAGGTGTTTGTTCTAATGTTCTCCCTCCCCTTCTCCCGCACCCCCTGACAGGCCCCAGTGTGTGATGTTCCCCTCCCTGTGTCCACGTGTTCTCATTGTTCAACTCCCACTTATGAGTGAGAACATGCGGTCTTTGGTTTTCTCTTCCTATATTAGTTTGCTGAGAATGATGGTTTCAAGCTTCTTCCATGTCTCTGCAAAGGACATGGACTCATTCTTTTTTATGGCTGCATAGTAGAGAATTCCTAAAATTTTAAAAATTGACTTGAGCCAGGGACAGTGGTACTTGCCTGTAGATCCAGCTACTAGGAGGTTGAGGCAGAAGCATAGCTTGAACTTGGAAGTTCAAGACTAGCCTGGGCAACATAGTAAGACCCTGTCTCAAAAAAAGTTGGCTTCAAAACTATTATTTCATATTAATGGGAAATTATTTCATATTAATGGGAATTATATTTCCAAGAATATATGGACGTCTTGCTATTTTGGATACTGGATATTTTATAGCCATAGAAAATGTATATTGTCTTGTAAGATCCATAACCAAAAAGGGTAATTGTCAACCATTCTTTGCTAGAGAACATGCAAGAAGTTATAAAATGAGGTTATAAGACAGAAAGAAGGAGAAATGTTTAAGAAGAAATACTAGAAAATTGGGATGCAGTACTACTGACTTACAAGTTCTGTAGTTGTGTAATTTATAAGGCCATTGTACACATAAACTTATTTAATAGTCTAATAGCTCTGTGTTATAGGAATTATTCTCACATAAACTGAAGTTCAGAGATGTTAAGTGGACTCTATATCACAAAAGTAACAACAGGAAGAACGCAACTACAATCCGACTTTTCTGGCTTTAAGAATATGTCATTTTGATAATGTTTTTTGAAATATATGAATCATAATTTATATTTGAGCATATTCTTCTTAAATAATATACAGCACGGATATTGATGGGTCCATGACAGTGGATTGGGTTGAATGGAGGAAAAATTTTTTCTTAAACCTGCAAAAAAAAGATGTTGAAGAAGTTGCCCATTACTGGAAACACGTTACTGAAAGTGGTCTTTTTCTTACTATTGGTATATTTTATGCTATGCGTCAAGGGCATAAAAATGTAATGCATTATAAACTATTAGATTTGCTAGTGGATCTTGCTGATTAAACAAGTGATGCTATAGAATGTTGCTTCATTAGAAATTTGTACAATGCCAAGAAGAATTGGCATATAATATCTACTTCAACCAAAGTCTCAATTTGCAAAAGGCATCCATTTATTGAGAACAACTACACTCTTAAGAGTCGATTACTCCTACTCAGCACCATCATTCTGTAGGATAGTTGCCTATTTACTTGCCTGAAAGTAGGAATTGTGAGTTGCAGATTTAGATAATGCTTTCCCAATATTTACTGGATGAATGTATAAACCATAACTGAAATTCTCTTGAAAGAGTGGCAAGGCTCATAGTCATATATATATCATAGTCTGCATAGCATTTGCCTCCAAGTACTCTTAGAGATCTATGCTTCAAAATATCTTAAAATTTGAGGCTGGGTGCGGTGGCTTATGCCTGTATCCCAGCACTTTGGGAGGCCGAGGAGGGCGGATCACCTGAGGTCAGGAGTTCAAGACCAGCCTGACTAACATGGTGAAACGCCGCCTCTACTAAAAATACCAAAATTAGCCTGCCTTGTTGGCGCATGCCTGTAATCCCAGCTACTTGCGAGGCTGAGGCAGAAGAATTGCTTCAATCCGGGAGGCAGAGGTTGCACTGAGCCCAGATCACACACCATTGCACTCCAGCCTGGGCAACAAGAGTGAAACTCTCTCTCTCTCAAAAAAAAAAAAAAAAAAAAAAGTCTTAAAATTGAAAACGTTTTAAAAAATTTCCTAAAAATTTTGCTTGGTGATTCCCAGTTATGATCTACACTGTTCTTCTGTGTACCACAATATGCTTCTACAACTCTGAGGTAGGGATTATTGTTCCTATGTTATAGATGAGGAAACCAAGGCAGAGAGAGGTTAAATAACTGGCCTCTTCTTTTTTTATTTTTTTGAGACAGAGTCTCTCGTTCTGTTGCCCAGGTTGGAGTGCGGTGGCGTGATCTTGGCTCACTGCAACCTCCCAGGTTCAAGCAATTCTCCTGCCTCAGCCTCCTGAGTAGCTGGGATTACAGGCATGTGCCACCATGCCTAGCTAAATTTTTTGTATTTTTAGTACAGACAGGGTTTCACCATGTTTGGCTGGTTTCGAACTCCTGACCTCAAGTGATCTGCTTGCCTCAGCCCCCCAAAATGCTGAGATTACAGGTATGAGCCACTGCACCTGAGTAACTGGCCTCTAAAGGTAAGGAGGGTAGTGTAACATTTAAGATCATGAACTCTAGAATCATACTTCCAGGGTGTGCTTCTTAGTGCCCCTACTTAGTAGCCCTGTGACCTTGGAGACATCGTTTAACCTTTCTAAGCCTCATTTTTTTCAACTATAGAGGGATATTACCTACTCCATAGGGCTGATGAGAGGATTCATGAGACAGTCGTACTAAAATACTGAATACAGTGCCTTGTGAACAGGAACTACACCTTAGTTTGTTTTGAGGATTAAAGTAGTTAATATATGTAAAGCACTTGCAACAGCATCTGACACACGTTAAACACCATACGTATTAGCTGTTATTATCAATTATTGGTAGGAAATAAAGAACCTTGAGCTGAAACTTGTATTTCAAATCTGTGACATCTATTGTTTCTTTATGAAGTCTATCTTTTTTCTTTCATTTTTCTTTAACATTGAGACTTTCTTTTAATAGTCTATGTGTTGAAGAAAAAGTTGCAATAAATACCAACCTGCTGCCCTCCTATTTTCTATAACTCCCCAAATCCCAAGATGCCCAAATCAAATATATGAAATCTAAGCCTAACCTGACTCCTTTTAACTGCCTTCTGAGGAAACTGAACTAAGTGAAAAGGAGTTTTGCATGAAGCTCTACAGCTTTTCCTATATCTCTAAGAGATTGCTCTGAGAAAGAGAGATGATCAGTAGAATCACATTAATATTGACAGGTAGAAAAATAAAAGACATTCCACTATAGCCTTAGATTGAATAGTGTGTCTTCTTAATTCTTACCATGTTACTTATGACACTCTTCAGTTACCAACATTATTTTAATTTAAAACATATATAATCATTAAGAGAATATGTTATCTTTTTGGTGCTTTTTCCTCTGTACTCTTAAAGATGATTAAAGGAAATTCAAGTCAGTGAAAAACTATATTTGTTATATGCCTACCATAGGATAAACTTTCTGTTTGATAATGAAGATAAAAGGAAGATAAATACATGGGAAATAGCTATTTTGAAGACTAAATGACATATTGTCTGTGACAACCTAGTAAAGAAATATAAATTAAATTCAATAAACTGTCTTTTTGAGTATAGTGCTAACAAAGGGTGCTTCATTTGTTCCAGGGGCACATTCACATTTTGGCTTATAGTAATTTCATGAGAAACAAATAGGTTTAGCAGTATAGCTGTACAGCAAAGAAGTAGAAAACAGCCCGTTTTCGGGGTGGAATACGGAGTGCAGGCTCTGGATTCAGGCTGCTTTGGTTCAAATCCCGGCTCTGCCACTTACTGGGTGAATTGGGATAAATTATTTAATCTCTTTGGGCCTCAGTTTTCTTAACTCTAAAACTGGGATGATAGTACCTCTCAGGGTTATTATGAAAATTAAAGATGACACATATAGCTTTAATATAGTGCTGACTTTGCTCTGCAAATGTTAGTTTTTATTTATGTAACAGATACCTATTTTTCAGTCACATTATTGCTAATGACTATGCATAGCATAGGCACTGGAGGCCAAAATGCCACCAAACAGTCTGTGTTTTACAACTGATAATACCAGTAACTAACATTCACTGAAACTCTTTTAGTGCGAAGCACTGTGATAAGTACTTTGTGTACTTTTAAGTCATTTAATCTTAAGAACCCAACAAAGTAGGTATTACTATTGGCTTCAGTTTGCATTTGAGGAAATGGAGACCCAGAGAGATCGTTCAATTAGGAATTCAGGAGGTCAGAATTTGAATTCTATCTGGCTCCTGAGCCCAAGTCCTTGATCATGATAAATGTTATCAACCTTCTGGGCCCTCAAAATATTCCTATTTTATGATATATGTGTAGCAGAGCTTACTATCTGCTTTGGGCACTACATGGAAAGACTTAGTTTTTTGTCACATCCACTGTAGGTAAAGATGTAAAAGGAAACTGCTTTAAATGTGTGTTGTATATTTTATATTTATTTCATTAAAAGTAAAGAGTCTGACTGAAGATATTAGGTTGGTGCAAAAGTAATTGTGGTTTCTGCCATTACTTTCTTACTTTTTTTTTTTTTTTTTGAGATAGAGTCTTGCTTTGTAACCCAGGCTGGAGTACAGTGGTGTGATCTTGGCCCACTGCAACTTCTGCCTCCCAGGTTCAAGCAATTCTCCTTCCTCAGCCTCCGGAGTAGCTGGGATACAGGCGCATGCCACTGCACCCAGCTAATTTTTGTAGTTTTAGTAGAGATGGGGTTTCACCATGTTAGCTAGGTTGGTCTCAAACTCCTGACCTCAAGTGATCTGTCTGCCTTGGCCTCCAAAAGTGCTGAGAGGACAGGCATGAGCCACCATGCCTGGCCTGTTTTTATAATTTTTATTTTTATTTTAATTCTAGGGTACATGTGTAGGATATGCAAATTCGTTACATAGATAAATGTGTGTGATGGTGATTTGCTGTAACTATCAACCCATCACCTAGGTATTAAGCCCAGCAAGCATCAGCTATTTTTCCTAATGCTCTCCCTCCTCCCACCCACCCCCAACAGGCCCCAGTGTGTGTTGTTCCCTTCCCTGTGTCCGTGTGTTCTCATTGTTCAGCTCCCACTTATAAGTGAGAACATGCAGTGTTTGGTTTTCTGTTCCCGTGTTAGTTTGCTGAGGATAATGGCTTTTAGCTTCATCCATGTCCCTGCAAAGGACATGAACTCATTCCTTTTTATGGCTGCATAGTATTCCATGGAGAATATGTATCATATTTTCTTTATTCAGTCAGTCATTGATGGGTATTTAGGTTGATTCCATGTCTTTGCTATTGTGACATGTGTTTGCTGTAGTGCTGCAATGAACATATGTGTTCATGTATCTTTGTAATATAAATATTTATATTCCTTCGGGTCTATACCAAGTAATGGAATTTGAGTCAAATGGTATTTCTGGTTCTAGATCATTGAGGAATCACCACATTGTCTTCCACAATGGGTGAACTAATTTATAGTCCTACTAACAGTGTAAAAGTGTTCCTATTTCTCTGCAATCTCTCCAGCATCTGTTTTTTCTTGACTTTTTAATAATTGGCATTCTGACTGGTGTGAGTTGGTGTCTCATTGCGATTTTGATTTGCATTTCTCTAATGATCAGTGATGTCAAGCTCTTTTTTTTCTAAATATGTTTGTTGGCCACATGAATGTCTTCTTTTGAGAAGTATCTGTTCATGTCCTTTGCCCACTTTTTAATGGAGTCATTTGTTTTTTCTTGTCAATTTGTCTAAGTTCCTCGTAGATTCTGGATATTAGACCTTTATCAGATGGATAGATTGCAATAATTTTTTCCCATTCTGTAGGTTGTCTGTTCACTGTTATGATAGTTTCTTTTGCTGTACAGAAGTTCTTTAGTTTAATTAGATCCCACTTGTCAATTTTTGCTTTTGTTGGAATTGCTTTTGGTGATTTCATCATGCAATCTTTTCCTGTGCCTATGTCCTGAATGGTATTGCCTAGATTTTCTTCTAGGGTTTTTATAGTTTTGGGTTTTACATTTAAGTCTTTAAATCGATCTTGAGTTAATTTTTGTATAAGGAGTAAGGAAGGGGCCCAGTTTCAATTTTCTGTGTATGGCTAGCCAGTTCTCCCAGCACAATTTATTAAATAGGGAAGCTTTCACCATTGCTCGTTTTTGTCAGGTTTGTTGAAGATCAGATGATTGCAGATGTGTGGTCTTATTTCTGAGTTCTCTATTTTGTTCCATTGGTCTATGTGTCTGTTTTTTGTACCAGTACCTTGCTGTTTTGGTTACTGTAGCCTTGTAGCATAGTTTGAAGTCTAGTGGCGTGATGATGCCTCCAGCTTTGTTCTTTTTGCTTAGGATTGTCTTGGCTATATGAGCTCTTTTTTTTGGTTCCATATGAATTTTAAAATAGTTTCTTTATTAATTTATAATTGACGGTACCTCAAGCTTATTCATGAGTTATTTTAAATTGTGCTAGTCAGTGAAGCCCAATGTTCTTGGAGAGGATATTAATTTACTGTGGATCTGAGATATTTAAAGCATTATTTAGATCTTATAAGGAGATAAAATTTTTATTTGAGATCATCTAATTATTATTAATTTTTTTAAAGCAAGGAATTGATATGGGAGATAAATGGACTTTTCATAATTTCATTGATGAAGGAAGAAAATCTAGCCTGTTGTGGAAATATCTATTGGCTGGAGGCATAGTTGGTACATATCCTCAGACATGCACAATGCCATTAGACCATCTGAAAATCCTGCTGCAGGTATGTTGCATAGTTCATGTGTATGATTTTGAGTGATATGTATTGGGGGAACCAGCCCCCAGTATTTCAACATAGGTTCTTTTCTATTTTCCCTAAGTGTCAGCCAGTCTGAGAAATAAAGAGAAAGAGTACAAAGAGAGAAATTTTACAGCTGGGCCTCTGGGGATGACATCACATATCAGCAGTTTCTGTGATGCCCACCTGAGACGCAAAACCAGCAAGTATTTTTCTAATTTATTTTTATTTTTTAATTTTTTAATTTTAATTTTAATTTTTTAATTTTATTATTATTATACTTTAAGTTTTAGGGTACATGTGCACAATGTGCAGGTTAGTTACATATGTATACATGTGCCAAGCTGGTGTGTGCTGCACCCATTAACCTGTCATTTAGCATTAAGTATATCTCCTAATGCTATCCCTCCCCTCTCCCCCAACCCCACAACAGTCCCGAGTGTGATGTTCCCCTTCCTGTGTCCATGTGTTCTCATTGTTCAATTCTCACCTGTGAGTGAGAATATGCGGTGTTTGGTTTTTTGTCCTTGTGATAGTTTACTGAGAATGATGATTTCCAATTTCATCCATGTCCCTACAAAGGACATGAACTCATCATTTTTTATGGCTGCATAGTATTCCATGGTGTATATGTGCCACATTTTCTTAATCCAGTCTATCATTGTTGGACATTTGGGTTGGTTCCAGGTCTTTGCTATTGTGAATAGTGCCGCAATAAACATACATGTGCATGTGTCTTTATAGCAGCATGATTTATAGTCCTTTGGGTATATACCCACTAATGGGATGGCTGGGTCAAATGATATTTCTAGTTCTAGATCCCTGAGGAATCGCCACACTGACTTCCACAATGGTTGAACTAGTTTACAGTCCCACCAACAGTGTAAAAGTGTTCCTATTTCTCCACATCCTCTCCAGCACCTGTTGTTTCCTGACTTTTTAATGATTGCCATTCCAACTGGTGTGAGATGGTATCTCATTGTGGTTTTGATTTGCATTTCTCTGATGGCCAGTGATGGTGAGCATTTTTTCATGTGTTTTTTGGCTGCATAAATGTCTTCTTTTGAGAAGTGTCTGTTCATGTCCTTTGCCCACTTTTTGATGGGGTTGTTTGTTTTTTTCTTGTAAATTTGTTGGTGTTCATTGTAGATTCTGGATATTAGCCCTTTGTCAGATGAGTAGGTTGCGAAAATTTTCTCCCATTTTGGAGGTTGCCTGTTCACTCTGATGGTAGTTTCTTTTGCTGTGCAGAAGCTCTTTAGTTTAATTAGATCCCATTTGTCAATTTTGGCTTTTGTTGCCATTGCTTTTGGTGTTTTAGACATGAAGTCCTTGCCCATGCCTATGTCCTGAATGGTATTGCCTAGGTTTTCTTCTAGGGTTTTTATGGTTTTAGGTCTAATGTTTAAGTCTTTAATCCATCTTGAATTAATTTTTGTATAAGGCGTAAGGAAGGGATCCAGTTTCAGCTTTCTACATATGGCTAGCCAGTTTTCCCAGCACCATTTATTAAATAGGGAATCCTTTCCCCATTGCTTGTTTTTCTCAGGTTTGTCAAAGATCAGATAGTTGTAGATATGCGGTGTTATTTCTGAGGGCTCTGTTCTGTTCCATTGATCTATATCTCTGTTTTGGTACCAGTACCATGCTGTTTTGGTTACTGTAGCCTTGTAGTATAGTTTGAAGTCAGGTAGTGTGATGCCTCCAGCTTTGTTCTTTTGGCTTAGGATTGACTTGGCGATGCAGGCTCTTTTTTGTTTCCATATGAACTTTAAAGCAGTTTTTTCCAATTCAGTGAAGAAAGTCATTGGTAGCTTGATGGGGATGGCATTGAATCTACAAATTACCTTGGGCAATATGGCCATTTTCACCATATTGATTCTTCCTACCCATGAGCATGGAATGTTCTTCCATTTGTTTGTATCCTCTTTTATTTCATTAAGCAGTGGTTTGCAGTTCTCCTTGAAGAGGTCCTTCACATCCCTTGTAAGTTGGATTCCTAGGTATTTTACTCTCTTTGAAGCAATTGTGAATGGGAGTTCACTCATGATTTGGCTCTCTGTTTGTCTGTTATTGGTGTATAAGAATGCTTGTGATTTTTGTACATTGATTTTGTATCCTGAGACTTTGCTGAAGTTGCCTATCAGCTTAAGGAGATTTTGGGCTGAGACAATGGGGTTTTCTAGATATACAATCATGTCATCTGCAAACAGGGACAATTTCACTTCCTCTTTTCCTAATTGAATACCCTTTGTTTCCTTCTCCTGCCTAATTGCCCTGGCCAGCACTTCCAACACTATGTTGAATAGGAGTGGTGAGAGAGGGCATCCCTGTTTTGTGCCAGTTCTCAAAGGGAATGCTTCCAGTTTTTGCCCATTGAGTATGATATTGGCTGTGGGTTTGTCATAGATAGCTCCTATTATTTTGAGATACGTCCCATCAATACCTAATTTATTGAGTGTTTTTAGCATGAAGCGTTGTTGAATTTTGTCAAAGGACTTTTCTGCATCTATTGATATAATCATGTGGTTTTGTCTTTGGATTACATTTATTGATTTGCATATATTGAACCAGCCTTGCATCCCAGGGATGAAGCCCACTTGATCATGGTGGATAAGCTTTTTGATGTGCTGCTGGATTCAGTTTGCCAGTATTTTATTGAGGATTTTTGCATCAATGTTCATCAAGGACATTGGTCTAAAATTCTCTTTTTTGGTTGTGTCTCTGCCCGGCTTTGGTATCAGGATGATGCTGGCCTCATAAAATGAGTTAGGGAGGATTCCCTCTTTTTCTATTGATTGGAATCGTTTCAGAAGGAATGGTACCAGTTCCTCCTTGTACCTCTGGTAGAATTTGGCTGTGAATCCGTCTGGTCCTGGACTCTTTTTGGTTGGTAAGCTATTGATTATTGCCACAATTTCAGAGCCTGTTATTGGTCTATTCAGAGATTCAACTACTTCCTGGTTTAGTCTTGGGAGGGTGTATGTGTCGAGGAATTTATCCATTTCTTCTAGATTTTTCTAGTTTATTTGCATAGAGGTGTTTGTAGTATTCTCTGATGGTAGTTTGTATTTCTGTGGGATCGGTGGTGATATCCCCTTTATCATTTTTTATTGAATCTATTTGATTCTTCCTTCTTTTCTTCTTTATTAGTCTTGCTAGCGGTCTATCAATTTTGTTGATCCTTTCAAAAAACCAGCTCCTGGATTCATTAATTTTTTGAAGGGTTTTTTGTGTCTCTATTTCCTTCAGTTCTGCTCTGATTTTAGTTATTTCTTGCTTTCTGCTAGCTTTTGAATGTGTTTGCTCTTGCTTTTCTAGTTCTTTTAATTGTGATGTTAGGGCGTCAATTTTGGATCTTTCCTGCTTTCTCTTGTGGGCATTTAGTGCTATAAATTTCCCTCTACACACTGCTTTGAATGTGTCCCGGAGATTCTGGTATGTTGTGTCTTTGTTCTCATTGGTTTCAAAGAACATCTTTATTTCTGCCTTCATTTCGTTATGTACCCAGTAGTCATTCAGGAGCAGGTTGTTCAGTTTCCATGTAGTTGAGCGGTTTTGAGTGAGTTTCTTAATCCTGAGTTCTAGTTTGATTGCACTGTGGTCTGAGAGACAGTTTGCTATAATTTCTGTTCTTTTACATTTGCTGAGAAGAGCTTTACTTCCAACTATGTGGTCAATTTTGGAATAGGTGTGGTGTGGTGCTGAAAAAAATGTATATTCTGTTGATTTGGGGTGGAGAGTTCTGTAGATTTCTATTAGGTCTGCTTGGTGCAGAGCTGAGTTCAATTCCTGGGTATCCTTGTTAACTTTCTGTCTCTTTGATCTGTCTAATGTTGACAGTGTGGTGTTAAAGTCTCCCATTATTATTGTGTGGGAGTCTAAGTCTCTTTGTAGGTCACTCAGGACTTGCTTTATGAATCTGGGTGCTCCTGTATTGGGTGCATATATATTTAGGATAGTTAGCTCTTCTTGTTGAATTGATCCCTTTACCATTATGTAATGGCCTTCTTTGCCTCTTTTGATCTTTGTTGGTTTAAAGTCTGTTTTATCAGAGACTAGGATTGCAATCCCTGCCTTTTTTTGTTTTCCATTTGCTTGGTAGATCTTCCTCCATCCTTTTATTTTGAGCCTATGTGTGTCTCTGCATGTGAGATGGGTTTCCTGAATACAGCACACTGATGGGTCTTGACTCTTTATCCAATTTGCCAGTCTGTTTCTTTTAACTGGAGCATTTAGTCCATTTACATTTAAAGTTAATATTATTATGTGTGAATTTGATCCTGTCATTATGATGTTAGCTGGTTATTTTGCTCGTTTGTTGATGCAGTTTATTCCTAGCCTTGATGGTCTTTACAATTTGGCATGATTTTGCAGTGGCTGGTACTCGTTCCTTTCCATGTTTAGTGCTTCCTTCAGGAGCTCTTTTAGGGCAGGCCTGGTGGTGATAAAATCTCTCAGCATTTGCTTCTCTGTAAAGTATTTTATTTCTCCTTCACTTATGAAGCTGTTTGGCTGGATATGAAATTCTGGGTTGAAAATTCTTTTCTTTAAGAATGTTGACCTCTCCCTCTCCCTCTCCCTCTCCCTCTCCCTCTCCCTCTCCCTCTCCGTCTCCCCATGGTCTCCCTCTCATGCAGAGCCGAAGCTGGACTGTACTGCTGCCATCTCGGCTCACTGCAACCTCCCTGCCTGATTCTCCTGCCTCAGTCTGCCGAATGCCTGCGATTGCAGGCACGCGCCGCCACGCCTGATTGGTTTTGGTGGAGACGGGGTTTCGCTGTGTTGGCCGGGCCGGTCTCCAGCCCCTAACCGCGAGTGATCCGCCAACCTCGGCCTCCCAAGGTGCCGGGATTGCAGATGGAGTCTCGTTCACTCAGTGCTCAATGGTGCCCAGGCTGGAGTGCAGTGGCGTGATCTCGGCTCACTACAACCTCCACCTCCCAGTCGCCTGCCTTGGCCTCCCAAAGTGCCGAGATTGCAGCCTCTGCCCGGCCGCCACCCCGTCTGGGAAGTGAGGAGCGTCTCTGCCTGGCCACCCATCGTCTGGGATGTGAGGAGCCCCTCTGCCTGGCTGCCCAGTCTGGAAAGTGAGGAGCGTCTCCGCCTGGCCGCCATCCCATCTAGGAAGTGAGGAGCGCCTCTTCCCAGCCGCCATCACATCTAGGAAGTGAGGAGCATCTCTGCCCGGCCGCCCATCGTCTGAGATGTGGGGAGCGCCTCTGCCCCGCCGCCCCATCTGGGATGTGAGGAGCGCCTCTGCCTGGCCGAGACCCCATCTGGG
Organism: Homo sapiens; assembly: GCF_000001405.40. Taxonomy (NCBI): domain Eukaryota; kingdom Metazoa; phylum Chordata; class Mammalia; order Primates; family Hominidae; genus Homo; species Homo sapiens. The sequence goes on along the minus strand of NW_017852928.1, from coordinate 501,756 downwards.
AGGTGAGGAGCGTCTCTGCCCGGCCGCCCCGTCTGAGAAGTGAGGAGACCCTCTGCCTGGCAACCACCCCGTCTGAGAAGTGAGGAGCCCCTCCGCCCGGCAGCTGCCCCGTCTGAGAAGTGAGGAGCCTCTCCGCCTAGCAGCCACCCCATCTGGGAAGTGAGGAGCGTCTCCGCCCAGCAGCCACCCCGTCCGGGAGGGAGGTGGGGGGGGGTCAGCCCCCCGCCCGGCCAGCCGCCCCATCCGGGAGAGAGGTGGGGGGTCAGCCCCCCTGCCCGGCCAGCCGTGCCGTCCGGGAGGGAGGTGGGGGGGTCAGCCCCCCGCCTGGCCAGCCGTGCCGTCCGGGAGGGAGGTGGGGGGGTCAGCCCCCCGCCCGGCCAGCCGCCCCGTCCGGGAGGTGAGGGGCGCCTCTGCCCGGCCGCCCCTACTGGGAAGTGAGGAGCCCCTCAGCCCGGCCAGCCACCCCGTCCGGGAGGGAGATGGGGGGGTCAGCCCCCCAACCCGGCCAGCCGCCCTGTCCGGGAGGGAGGTGGGGGGGGTCAGCCCCCCGCCTGGCCAGCCGCCCTGTCCGGGAGGGAGGTGGGGGGGTCAGCCCTCCCCCCGGCCAGCCGCCCCGTCTGGGAGGTGAGGGGCGCCTCTGCCCGGCCGCCCCTACTGGGAAGTGAGGAGCCCCTCTGCCCGGCCAGCCGCCCCATCCGGGAGGGAGGTGGGGGGGTCAGCCCCCCGCCCGGCCAGCCGCACTGTCTGGGAGGGAGGTGGGGGGGTCAGCCCTCCGCCCGGCCAGCCGCCCCGTCTGGGAGGTGAGGGGCGCCTCTGCCCGGCCGCCCCTACTGGGAAGTGAGGAGCCCCTCTGCCCAGCCAGCCGCCCCGTCCGGGAGGGAGGTGGGGGGGTCGGCCCCCCGCCCGGCCAGCCGCCCCATCCGGGAGGGAGGTGGGGGGGTCGGCCCCCCGCCCGGCCAGCCGCCCCGTCCGGGAGGGAGGTGGGGGGGTCAGCCCCCCGCCCGGCCAGCCGCCCCGTCCGGGAGGGAGGTGGGGGGGGTCAGCCCCCCCGCCCGGCCAGCCGCCCCGTCCGGGAGGTGAGGGGCGCCTCTGCCCGGCCGCCCCTACTGGGAAGTGAGGAGCCCCTCTGCCCAGCCAGCCGCCCCGTCCGGGAGGGAGGTGGGGGGTTCAGCCCCCCGCCCGGCCAGCCGCCCCGTCCGGGAGGGAGGTGGAGGGGGTCAGCCCCCCTGCCCGGCCAGCCGCCCCGTCCGGGAGGTGAGGGGCGCCTCTGCCCGGCCACCCCTACTGGGAAGTGAGGAGCCCCTCTGCCCGGCCACCACCCCGTCTGGGAGGTGTGCCCAATAATAGCTCATTGAGAACGGGCCAGGATGACAATGGCGGCTTTGTGGAATAGAAAGGCGGGAAAGGTGGGGAAAAGATTGAGAAATCGGATGGTTGCCGTGTCTGTGTGGAAGGAAGTAGACATGGGAGACTTTTCATTTTGTTCTGCACTAAGAAAAATTCCTCTGCCTTGGGATCCTGTTGATCTGTGACCTTGCCCCCAACCCTGTGCTCTCTGAAACATGTGCTGTGTCCACTCAGAGTTAAATGGATTAAGGGCGGTGCAAGATGTGCTTTGTTAAACAGATGCTTGAAGGCAGCATGCTCGTTAAGAGTCATCACCAATCCCTAATCTCAAGTAACCAGGGACACAAACACTGCGGAAGGCCGCAGGGTCCTCTGCCTAGGAAAACCAGAGACCTTTGTTCACTTGTTTATCTGCTGACCTTCCCTCCACTATTGTCCCATGACCCTGCCAAATCCCCCTCTGTGAGAAACACCCAAGAATTATCAATAAATAAATAAATAAATAAATAAATAAATAAATAAATAAATAAAAAAGAACGTTGAATATTGGCCCCCACTCTCTTTCAGCTTGTAGAGTTTCTGCCGAGAGATCAGCTGTTAGTCTGATGGGCTTCCCTTTGTGGGTAACCCGACCTTTCTCTCTGGCTGCCCTTAACATTTTTTCCTTCATTTCAACTTTGGTGAATCTGACAATTATGTCTTGGAGTTGCTCTTCTCGAGGAGTATCTTTGTGGTGTTCTCTGTATTTCCTGAATCTGAACGTTCGCCTGCCTTGCTAGATTGGGGAAGTTCTCCTGGATAATATCCTGCAGAGTGTTTTCCAACTTGGTTCCATTCTCCCCGTCACTTTTAGGTACACCAATCAGACGTAGATTTGGTCTTTTCACATAGTCCTGTATTTCTTGGAGGCTTTGTTCATTTTTTTTAATTCTTTTTTCTCTAAACTTCCCTTCTCACTTCATTTCATTCATTTCATCTTTCATCACTGATACTCTTTCTTCCAGTTGATCGCATCAGCTCCTGAGGCTTCTGCATTCTTCATGTAATTCTCGAGCCTTGGCTTTCAGCTCCATCAGCTCCTTTAAGCACTTCTCTGTATTGGTTATTCTAGTTATACATTCGTCTAAAGTTTTTTCAAAGTTTTTAACTTCTTTGCCTTTGGTTTGAATTTCCTCCTGTAGCTTGGAGTAGTTTGATCGTCTGAAGCCTTCTTCTCTCAACTCATCAAAGTCATTCTCTGTCCAGCTTTGTTCCATTGCTGGTGAGGAACTGCGTTCCTTTGGAGGAGGAGAGGTGCTCTGCTTTTTAGAGTTTCCAGTTTTTCTGCTCTGTTTTTTTCCCATCTTTGTGGTTTTATCTACTTTTGGTCTTTGATGATGGTGATGTACAGATGGGTTTTTGGTGTGGATGTCCTTTCTGTTTGTTAGTTTTCCTTCTAACAGAGAGGACCCTCAGCTGCAGGTCTGTTGGAGTTTGCTAGAGGTCCACTCCAGACCCTGTTTGCCTGGGTAACAGCAGTGGTGGCTGCAGAACAGTGGATTTTCATGAACTGTGAATGCTGCTGTCTGATCATTCCTCTGAAAGTTTTGTCTCAGAGGAGTATCCGGCCATGTGAGGTGTCAGTCTGCCCCTACTCGGGGGTGCCTCCCAGTTAGGCTGCTCATGGGTCAGGGGTCAGGGACCCACTTGAGGAGGCAGTCTGCCTGTTCTCAGATCTCCAGCTGCATGCTGGGAGAACCACTGCTCTCTTCAAAGCTGTCAGACAGGGACATTTAAGTCTGCAGAGTTTACTGCTGTCTTTTTGTTTGTCTGTGCCCTGCCCCCAGTGGTGGAGCCTACAGAGGCAGGCAGGCATCCTTGAGCTGTGGTGGGCTCCACCCTGTTTGAGCTTCCCGGCTGTTTTGTTTACCTAAGCAAGCCTGGGCAATGGCTGGCGCCCCTCCCCCAGCCTCGCTGCCACGTTGCGGTTTGATCTCCGACTGCTGTGCTAGCAGTCAGTGAGACTCCCTGGGTGTAGGACCCTCCGAGCCAGGTGCGGGATATAATCTCCTGGTGCGCTGTTTTTTAAGCCCGTCGGAAAAGCGCAGTATTAGGGTGGGAGTGACCTGATTTTCCAGGTGCCATCTGTCACCCCTTTCTTTGACTAGGAAAGGGAACTACCTGACCACTTGCACTTCTCGAGTGAGGCAATGCCTCGCCCTGCTTGGGCTCATGCACGGTGTGCTGCACCCACTGTCCTGAGCCCACTGTCTGGCACTCCCTAGTGAGATGAACCCGGTACCTCAGATGGAAATGCAGAAATCACCCGTCTTCTGCGTCGCTCGTGCTGGGAGCTGTAGACTGGAGCTGTTCCTATTTGGCCATCTTGGCTGCCCCCTAAAACCAGCAAGTTTTTACTAGGGATTTCAAAAGGGGAGCGGTGTATGAATAGGGATAGGTCACAGGGATCACATGCTTCAGAGGGCAATAAAAGATCACAAGGCAGAGGGCGAAATTAGAATTACTGATGAGGTTCCATGTCCCGCTGGGCATGCATTGTCTTGATAAACATCTTAACAGGAAACAGGGTTCGAGAGCAGACAACTGGTCTCACTAGAATTCACCAGGCTGGAATTTCCCAATCCTGGTAAGCCTGAGGGCACTGCAGGAGACCAGGGCATATTTCATCCCTTATCTTCAACTGCATAAGACAGATACTCCCAGAGTGGCTGTCTATAGACCTATCCCGGGAATGCATTCCTTCCCCAGGGTTATTCCTTGCTGAGAAAAGAATTCAGCAATATTTCTCCTACTCGCTTTCTGCAAGAAGAAAAATATGGCTCTATTCTGCCCGACCCTGCAGGCAGTCAGACCTTAAGGTTATCTTCCCTTGTTCCCTGAAGATCGCTGTTGTTCTGTTCTTTTTCAGGGTGCCCTGATTTCATGTTGTTCAAACACACATGTTTTACAAACAATTTGTACAGTTAATGCAATCATCACAGGATCCTGAGGTGACATACAACCTCAGCTTATGAAGATGATGGGATTAAGAGATTAAAGTAAAGACAGGCATAGGAAATTATAAGAGTATTGTTAGGGGAAGTGATAAATGTCCATGAAATCTTCACAATTTATGTTCTTCTGCCATGGCTTTAGCCGGTCCCTCTGTTTGGGGTCCCTGACTTCCTGCAACATCATGAATGTTTGATAATTTTTGAAAGAAGGATTTCAGAGGTGTTAATATTATTATGTGATGCTCTCATGTGCAAATGACTTCATTACCAGTAATCTACTAGACTAATTTCTTCAGCAAGCTGCCAGGCACTGAACCCGTCTTGATGGTACAAAAACCAAATATATATTATTCTCAACCATATGCATTTTGGAGTTTAGTGATGAAGACAGATCTGTAAAAAAAATAATTAAACACAGTCTAATAATGTAGCTCTAGTGTTCTAAGGAAGGACAAAATTAGAGAAGCCTCCTTTTTATGGGGAGGTGTGTAGAGGTGGACCTAAACCATTCTGTGATTCTCTCTATAAGGTAGAAATTTTGACACCAAAAGACAGAGACTGGTCAAAAAGTTGTACTCACTATGTATTCCTTACCAAATGCAGGGTCCTATAGATGGAAACCTTCAGTGAAAGGTATTGGGTCCTAGAACTGTTCTGGTCTCTTTGAAGATGGGACAAGCAATGCAGAAATTGACTGTGCAACCAGGATAGGGGAGAAGGGTTTCCACCCTCTTCATTGCTCTACTCAAGGCAGAAATTATGGGCCTGCAATAGTCACTATCTCCTTTTACGTTTTTTGGGCCATCAAGGAACACATTTCTTTCTAATTTTTATAGATACATACAAAGCAAGCAAGTATGCCTGGCTGCTGGGATTCTGGGTTCAAAGCAGAGAAAGAGGCAGAAGGCCTGCTATCCATTGTGCGTATTTTTTTCACTGAATCCCTGTGTTTCCAGTCCTCACCAAATTATTGAATTCTGTATTATTGAATCAAGAACTTCTTCATTTTCTCCAGAGAATAAAGCCTCCAGGGGTTTTTAAGGGCAAATCAACTTCTGTGTGCATTCCCTTCTGTAGAATTTGTTGTAATTTTTATTCTGCTAAGTCAGTTATCACTTTTCCATTTGCTTTCCACCTCCTCCAAATCTGTTGAAATTGATAGTTTTTTTTTTTTAATTTGTAGATTAGTTATGGGGTGACCATATAATTTTCATACAGACCAAGATCCTTTTGCAAGTGGAAGGGGGCCGGGGGTGGTGGCTCATGCCTGTAATCCCAGCACTTTGGGAGGTCAAGGTGGGTGGATCACCTGACGTCAGGAGTTCGAGACCAGCCTGGCCAACATGGTGAAACCCCGTCTCTACTGGAAAAATACAAAAATCAGCCTGCTGTGGTGGTGGGCGCCTGTAATCCCAGGTACTCGGGAGGCTGAGGCAGGAGAAACGCTTGAACCCAGGAGGTGGAGGTTGCAGAGAGCTGAGATCTTGCCACTGCACTCCAGCCTGGGTGACAGAGCGAGATTCCGTCTAAAAACAAACTAACAAAAAAAGTGAAAGGGGGTGCTTAGTAATCACAAAGGGACAATCCTTGGACAAAGAAAGATTCCTGTGCCACCCTAGGTACTGTCTTCTTTATTACATTACTGGTGTTTTTGTGTGGTTTTGGGAGGGAAAGAGAAAAATATGTTTGGTCAATGGCCATTTTTACTTAAAGTTAATTTCTTGCATGTCTAAAAATTATTTAATTTTGCTTTTTTCCTAGACTGGCAGTTTGGCTGAGTTTGAGCATCAAGTTCAAAAATGCTTTCCCTCAGAGCTGTTAAGGCATTAATTACCCTATTAATTTCTAGCATCTAATGTGATTTCTGAGAAGCCTGAGCCACTCTGATTTTTCATATACAACCTGTTTTTCCTCTGTGCAAGCTTTTAGTCATGCTTCTATCCTGGCTGTTATGAAATTTTACAATGTGAGTTTAGGTAGGTTCTCTTTTCATTCATTATGCTTGACATTTAGTGGGCTCTTCCTAACTATAAATTTATTTTTCCTTAGCATTAGTGTATTCTATTATTTTTCTTAATTTTCTTCCTTCTATTTTCTATCTCTAGAATTCTTATTACTTGGATGTCATACCTTCTGGGTTGACCTTGTGTGTTAGTCAGGGTTCTCCAGAGAAACAGAACAGAACAACTATAAAAGATTATATATATATATATCTTTTATAGTTGTTTTGTTCAAGGCAAAGCATCTGACTGAAGATAACATAGGGATCTATGAAGTCTTGAATACTGAAGACACTTTGTTGTTATTGCCAGTTAAATAGCTACTATCTCATCAGTTGTTTGTGTAGCCTGTGTTTCATCATAGCTAAAATTATTATTAGAATTTGGAAAATCATTCTTTTTGTATTCAATCTTTGACAAATATTTCTATATCAGAAGTTTATTATAGGAATTGGCTCATGGGATTATTAGAAGGTGTGGAGTTCCACAATATGCTCTCTGCAAGCTGGAGAACCAGGAAAGCTGGTGCTTTCCAAGTCCAAGTCCAAAGGCCTGAGAACCAGGGGAGCTAATGGCGAAATTCCCAGTCCAAGGTCCAAGGCCTGAGAACTAGGGTGGAGGGCAGGGACACTGGTGTAAGTATTAGAGTCCTCAGGCCCAAGAACCAGCAGCTCTGATGTCTGAGGGCAGGAGAAGATGGATGCCCTAGCTCAAGAAAACAGAGAAACAGACAGACAGAGACAGAGACAGAGACAGAGACAGAAACAGAGTATTTGCCTTTCTTCTGCTTTTTTGTTTTATGTGGGCTCTCAAATGACTGGATAATGTCCACCCACGTTGGTGAGCGTGGACCTTCTTTACTCAGTGTATGGATTGAAATGCTAATCTTTTTCTTAAACAGCTTCACAGTCATACTCAGAAATCATATTTCACCAGTTATCCGGAAATCCCTTAGTCTAGTCAAGCTGACACATAAAATTAACCATCTCACCCTCTATGCATCTTATTTAATTATTTATTTTTGAGGCAGGGTCTTACTCTGTCACTCAGGCTGGAGTACAGTGGCACGACCACAGCTCACTGCAGCCTTGACCTCTTGGGCTCAAGTGATCCTTCCACCTCAGCCTCCCAAGTAGCCAGGGCTGTAGGTGTTCACCACAACACCTGGCTATTTATTTATTTTTATATTTTATTTTTTGGAGATGAGGTCCCACTAAGTCACCCAGGCTGGTCTCAAACTCCTGGGCTCAAGTGATCTGCCCTATTCAACCTCCCAAAGTGCTGGGATTACAGGTGTGAGCCATTGCACCTGGCTGCATCTTATCTTTTCATAAATATTTTCTATCACTATGTCATTTTCTAGGACATTTCTTCAATCATATATTTTAACCCTTCTATTGAACTCATGTCAACAATCACATCTTTACTTCCAAGAGCTCTTTTTATCCCTTTGATTGTATTTATCCCTTTTCATAGTATTTGTTTCTTGCTTGGTAGTTTTTTTCTTAATTAAGTATCATCTTGATTCTTTTTGAGGATATTAGAGGGTGCTTTATATAGTTTTGTTTTTGTTGACTGTAGTTTCCTGAATTGTTACTACATTCTCTGGAATTAGTTACTGTGTTTATCTTAGTTTTAGATTTTTATGCTGCCATTCATGCCCCCAAACATGTGGTGATCCTTTATTGTTGTTTCATGGTCAAAATGAAAGACTACATATTTTAGGTAGCTGATACAGATTTCTGTACAGTTAGTTGTATTTTCTAGTTATGTTTCTCTCACAGAATTTTTGTTATAAAAGGAATCTACACATTCTGTTTGTGTTCTCTCTGTCATCAAGAGGACTGAGGAATGACCACAGAACTAAAATCCCTTTGAACCAATTTCTTGAAAACTCCCCAAGTGTTTTGCAGTCTCATTGTTTCTTTTGCCAGCTTCCTTTCCCTCCCTGCATAGCAGGCTCAAGGTTCTGCACTCCACCACCCTTGCTCAGACTTGTCTGCTAAGGCTGAACCCCCAGGGCCATGGGGCAGGAACCCTTCCAGACCTCGCCCTCCCCTTGGAGCTCTATCAGTTTTTCCTTTATATATATTGAGGCCAAAAGCTGATATGCTCTTGGTAAGTTGAATCTTTTATCATTGCGAAGTGATCAAACTAACCTTCTATCCCTGGGATAAATCCCCCTTGGTGCCTGTAATCCCAACCCTTTGGGAGGTCCGACACGGGCAGATTATTTGAACTCAGGAGTTCAAGACCAGCTGAGGCAACATGGTGAAACCCTGTCTCTACAAAAATAATTAAAAAAAATTAGCTGGACGTGGTGGTGCATACCTATGGTCAGAGCCACTAGGGAGGCCGAGGAGGGAGGATTGCCTGAGCCCAGGAAGCAGAGGTTGCAGTGAGCCGAGATCACACCACTGCACTCCAGGCTGGGTGAGAGTGAGACTCCATCTCAAAAAACATGCATTTTTTAAAAAGTCAAATACAAAAAAAAAAAGAAGTCTAAACATTCAGCAGAATATATTTTGTCTTACTTGGATTTTAAGGTTCCATTGGAAAGAGGTAGAATTGTTATTTCTGGAAACCAGAGAAAAATAAAGATGAAAGAAAACCCTGCAAACTAAATTTTCAATGAAACAAAGGAACAAGAGAACACATGCTGTATGATTACAGGTAAAACTCAGACCTATTAGGAGTGCACAGAGTGTTTTTGGTGTGTGTGTGTGTGTGTGTGTGTGTGTGTGTGTGTGTATTTTTTTAGTATGTGTGTGTCTATGTAACACATATACAATGCAGTATTTTTCAGCCATGAAAATGAAGGAAACCCTGTCATTTGTGATAATATGGATGAACCTGAAAGACATTATGCTAAGCAAAATAAGCCAGACACAGAACAAGTACTGCATGATCTCACTTATACATGGAAACTAAAAAAGTTGAATTCATGGAAACAGAGAGTAGAATGGCGGTTACCAGAGGAGGGGTGGGAGATGGGGAATGAGGAGATGTTGGTCAAAGGATACAGAGCTTCAGTTATGTAGAATGAATTGTAACAGAGTGCCCCAATTTTTCCTAAGATAAAAAGAATGAGTTACTTTTATTATTGTTATTATTATTATTTCTTCTCTTCTCCTCTCCCCTTTTCCCCCATTCTATGTTTTCTACGTAGTCCTTTGGAAATGGAAACATAACCTATCACCTCCCCATCAGCAGACACACCCTTCAGAACAAATTCTTCTGTGTGTTTCAAGACAGATCTCTCCTCAAGAGTGCACAGTTGATTTGCAGACCAAACCACACCCATCACAGAACTTCCACCATTTGGGGTCACCTCAGAACTTACACCCACTAGGAGGGCATGTTGAAAGCATTCCCACCTGGTCACTTTTACAACTTACTTCTGACCAGAAAGATACCATCTTGACTGCCCAGTGGATAACTGCCTGGGAGCAGGGAGACCCCTCTGTCCTTGCTCACTTCTCCCTTTAACTTATAAAAAATCCACTTTTTGCTCCAAAGGTGAGGTGACACATTCAAAGCAGGACATGTTATGCATCTTTCCCCAAGCCAGCTTTGGAAATAAATTCACTTTTTTTTTTTTGTGCCAGGCCTCACACTTAATTGCACTCTGCATGTGGTGAGCAACTAACCTGCTTTTGGTTACACAATGAGTTTTAGAGACCTAATGTACAGCATGGGGACTATTGTTCATGCTGTATTGTATACTTGGAGTTTGCTAAAAGAGTAGATCGTGTGTTCCATTACTCTTAAAAAGGAACTATGTGAAGAGGTAGATATGCTAATTAGCTTGAATGTAGCCATTAGTTCATTATGTAGATACATGTGGAAACATCATGTTGCAGACCTTAAATATATACAATTTTAATAAAATTTTTAAAAAGTTTCTTTTAAGCAAACATTTACAATAGCATCAAAATATAAAAACTGCATTGCAAAGGATGTGGAAACCCATACACTGAAGACTACACCATATTGCTGGAAGCAATTAAAGACCTTTGGAATAAGAGGTGTTTATTCTTGTTTTTCAAGATTGTTTTTGCTATTTGGGGATACTTGCAATTTTTTTCTGAATAAGAAGTTCTTCTTTTTTATTTCTGAAAAAAAAATAGGCCACTGAATTTGGATAAGATTGTATTGAATCTGTAGATTGCTTGGAGTAGTATTTCTATGTTAACTATATTAAACTTTCCAACCCATGGACACAGGATGTTTTCCCATTTATTTAGTTCTTCTTTGATCTTTTTATGCAATGTTATGTAGTTTTTAGTGTACATGTATTTCACCTTCTTAAATTTATTCCTAGATATGTTATTCTTATGGATGCTATTGTAAATGAAATGTATTAATTTTCCTTTAAGATTTTTCATTGCTAACAAACCTGGTTTTTATCTGTTTATCTTGTATGCTGCAAGTTTACTGAATTAGTTTATTAACTCCAGTAATTGTGTGTGTGTGTGTGTGTGTGTGTGTGTGTGTGTGTGTGGTGGGGTGGGGGGGTGTTTATTATTTGGTATTTTCTCTATATAGGGTCATGTCATCTGCAAATTGAGATAATTTTTTTTCTTTCCAAAACTTTTTTGCTCATCTTCAGTTTTGAAAGATATTTTGACTGGGTATAGAATTCTAGGTTGACAGTGTTTTCTTTTTTCAGTACTTGAAAGCTATTGCAAACTTTTTGTTTGTAACAGTTCTGATGAGAAATTGGATGCCATCCTTACAGTTAGTCCTCTGTATGTAACATGTCTTTTCACCTTTTATTCCTCTGAGGAGTTTCTCTTCATCACTGGTTTTGATCAATTGGAGTATGGTGTTCCTTGGTGTAGTTTTCTTCATGTTTCTTATTTATTTATTTATTTATTTATTTATTTATTTATTTATTTTTTAGCAACATGGCTGTTTATTTCACCTGGGTGCAGGCAGGCTGAGTCCAAAGAAAGTCAGCGAAGGGAGATAGGGGTGGGGCCGTTTTATAGGATTTGTGTAGGTAAAGGAAAATTACAGTCAAAGGGAGGTTGTTCTCTGGCAGGCAGAGTGGGGGTCACAAGGTGCTCAGTAGGGGAGCTTTTGAGCCAGGATGAGCCAGGAGAAGGAATTTCACAAGACAATGTCATCAGTTAAGGCAGGAACAGGCCATTTTCACTTCTTTTGTGGTAGAATGTCATCAGTTAAGTCAGGAACTGGCCATCTGGATGTGTATGTGCAGGCCACAGGGGATATGATGGCTTAGCTTGGGCTCAGAGGCCTGACATTCCTGTATTCTTATATTAATAAGAAAAATAAAACAAAATAGTGGTAAAGTGTTGGGACAGTGAAAATTTTGGGGGATGGTATGGAGAGATAATGGGCGATGTTTCTCAGGGCTGCTTTGAGCGGGATTGGGGGAGGCGTAGGAACCTAAAGTGGGAGCGATTAAGCTGAAGGAAGATTTTGTGGTAAGGGGTGATATTGTGGGGTTGTTAGAAGAAACATTTGTCATTTAGAATTATTAGTGATGGCCTAGATACAGTTTTGTATGAATTGAAAAACTAAACAGAATAAGAGAAGGAGAAAAACAGGTATTAAAGGACTAAGAATTGGAAGGACCTAGGACATCTAATTAGAGAGTGCCTAAGGAGGTTCAGTATAGCCTTGCCAGCAAAGATTATTTATTTACTTTAAGAGTTAAGAGTGGCGGTTTGGGGATAGTACCAGGAGATATCAGCTGTGATGGCTTGGAGAAACAGTGTAAACTGGCAGTGTAAACAAGAGCAGGGCATGTATAAGTAGTTGAGAACGGTGAATAGGAGTATGACTAGACAGAAGATAGTAGGGATGACAAGTTTTTGGGGGCACAGTCTAAGTTGGTCTGGTGTCTGGAATGAGACTGGGGCCTAATAAAAAGGAGTGTCTATACAGGAGCTTAAATGGGCAGTGTCTTGTAGCATTCCGAGGACAGGCCTGAATTCTGAGAAGCAAAAGTGGTAAAAGTATTGTCCAGTCCTTTTTAAGTTGGTGGCTGAGCTTTGTGAGGTGTGTTTTTAATAGCATTAGTCTGTCACTGAATACTAAGAGCCTGAAAAAATGCTTGGCTGATTTGACTAATAAAGGCTGGTCTGTTATCAGACTGTATAGAGGTGGGAAGGCTAAACTGAGGAATTATGTCTGACAGAAGGGAATGACAAGGCTAAACTGAAGAATTTTGTTTGACAGAAGGGAAGAAATGACTGCAGTGGCCTTCTCAGACCCTGTAGGAAAGGACTCTACTTATCCAGTGAAAGTGTCTACCTAGACTAAGAGGTATTTTAGTTATCTTACTTGGGGCATGTTGAGTAAAGCTAATTTGCCAGTCCTGGGTTGGGGCAAATCCTTGAGCTTGATGTGTAGGGAAGGGAGGGGGCCTGAATAATATCCATGAGGAGTAGTAGAATAGCAGATGGAACACTGAGAAGTTATTTCTTTGAGGATAGATTTCCATGATGGAAAGGAAATGAGAGGTTCTAAGAGGTGGGCTAGTGGCTTGTACTATAGCATAGCCTGCCTTTGCTGGTGTGTGGTGATTAGGCCTGGTGGAACTGCCATCAATAAACTAAGTGTGATCAGGGTGAGAAACAGGGAAGAAGGAAATGTGGGGAAATGGGGTGAACGTCAGGTGGATCAGAGAGATGCAGTCATGAGGGTCAGGTGTGGTATCTGGAATAATGTGAGAGGCCAGATTGAAGTCTGGGGCAGGAACAATGGTAATTGTGGAGACTTAACAAAGAGTGAGTATAGCTGAAGGAGCCGGGGAGCAGAAAGCATATGCATCAGGTGTGAGTAAGAAAATAGATTTTGGAAATTATGAGAGTTGTAAAGAGTGAGTTGAGCATAGTTTGTGATTTTTAGGGCCTCTAAAATTATTAAAGCAGCAGCAGCTGCTGCACACAGACATGAGGGCTAGGCTAAAACAGTAAGGTCAAGTTGTTTGGACAGAAAGGCTACAGGGTGTGGTCCTGGCTCTTATGTAAGAATTCTGACCGCACTAACCATGCCTAGGAAGGAAAGGAGTTGTTCTTTTGTAAGGGATTGAGGTTTGGGAGATTAATTGGACAAGATCAGCAGGGAGAGCACATGTGTTTTTATGAGAATTATGCTGAGATAGGTAACAGATGAGGATAAAATTTGGGCTTGACTGAAGTAATGGGGGCTGTCTGTGAAGCCTTGCAGCAGTACAGCCTAGGTAATTTGCTGAGCCTAATGGGTGTCAGGGTCAGTCTAAGTGAAAGCAAAGAGAGGCTTGGATGAGGGGTGCAGGGGAATAGTGAAAAAAGCATCTTTAAGATCGAGAATGGAATAGTGAGTTGTGGAGGAAGGTATTGAGGACAAAAGAGTGTATGGGTTGGGCACTACAGGGTGGATAGGCAAAACAATTTGGTTGATAAGGCGCAGATCCTGAAATAATCTGTAAGACTTGTCCGGTTTTTGGACAGGTAAAATGGGGGAATTGTAAGGAGAGTTATAGGTTTTAGAAGCCCATGCTGTAGCAGGCGAGTGATAACAGGCTTTAATCCTTTTAAAGCGTGCTGTGGGATGGGATATTGGCGTTGAGCAGGGTAAGGGTGATTAGGTTTTAATGGGATGGTAAAGGGCATGTGATCAGTTGCCAGGGATGGAGTAGAGATGTCCCATACTTGTGGGTTAAGGTGGGGGGATACGAGAGGAAGACGCGAAGGAGGCTTTGGGTTGGGGAGAAGGGCGGCAATGAGATGCAGCTGTAGTCCAGGAATAGTCAGGGAAGCAGATAATTTGGTTAAAATATCTCAGCCTAATAAGGGAACTGGGCAGGTGGGGATAACTAAAAAAGAGTGCATAAAAGAGTGTTGTCCAAGTTGGCACCAGAGTGGGGGAGTTTTCAGGGGTTTAGAAGCCTGGCTGTCAATACCCACAACAGTTATGGAGGGAAGGGAAACAGGCCCTTGAAAAGAAGGTAATGTGGAGTGGGTAGCCTCTGTATTGACTAAGGGGACGGACTTACCTTCCATTGTGAGAGTTACCTGAAGCTCGGCGTCCGTGATGGTCTGAAGCTTCCGAGGCAATCGGGCAGCCTCAGTCTTCAGCCGCTAAGCCAAGAAGGAGTCAGTCAGAGAGCCTTGGGCCAGAGTTCCAGGGGCTCTGGGAGTGGCTGCCAGGTGAGTTGAACAGTCCGATTTTCAGTGGGGTCCCGCACAGATGGGACACGGCTTAGGAAGAATCCTGGGCTGCAGGCATTCCTTGTCCTGGTGGTCAGATTTCTGGCACTTGTAGCAAGCTCCTGGGGGAGGAGGTTCTGGAGGAACGCCTGGCTGCTGCAGTTCAGGTGTTTGGAAGTTCTTGTGTGCTGGAGATGTGGCTGGGGTTTGTCTCACAGAGGAGGCAAGGAATTGCAAATTTTTTCTATTATTGTACACCTTGAAGGCGAGGTTAATTAAATCCTGTTGTGGGGTTTGAGGGCTGGAATTTAATTTTTGGAGTTTTATTTAATGTCGGGAGCAGATTGGGTAATAAAATGTATTTTGAGAATAAGACGGCCTTTTGACCTTTTAGGGTCTAGGGCTGTAAAGTGTCTCAGGGTTGCTGCCAAACAAGTCATGAACTGGGCTGGATTTTTATATTTGACAAAAAAGAGCCTAAATGCTATCTGATTTGGGATAAAGAAAAAGGAGCATTAACCTTAACTATGCCTTTAGCTCTAACCACCTTTTTAAGAGTAAATTGCTGGGCAGGTGGGGGAGGGCTAGTCACCGAATGAAGCTGTAAGCCAAACCGGGTGTGAGCAGGGGAGGTGATAAAAGGATTATAGGGTGGAGGAGCGGAGGCTGAGGAAGAATTGGGACCTAGCTCAGCCTGGTGAGGAGGGGAGAGGTCAGATGGGTCTGTAGAAAAGGAAGATTAGAAAGACTCAGTGACGCTTGGGGTTGGGACTGAGGGGACAGGCGGGAGGGAAAAAAGGAAGATTTGGGACGAGTTGCACCGGGCACAGAGACTAGGGAGGGACTGATATGTGAAAGAATGCCTGGACGTCAGGCACCTCAGACCGTCTGCCCATTTTACGACAAGAATTATTTAGATCTTGCAGGATGCAAAAATTGAAAGTGCCATTTTCTGGCTATTTGGAACTACTGTTGAGTTTGTATTGGGGTCAAGCGGCATTGCAGAAGAAAATAAGGCATTTAGGTTTTAGGTCAGGTGTGAGTTGAAGAGGTTTTAAGTTTTTGAGAACACAGGCCAAGGGAGAAGAAGGAGGAATGGAGGGTGGAAAGTTGCCCATAGTGAAGAAAGCAAGCCTAGAGAAAAGAAAGAGTAGAGACACGGAGGGAAGGGGTTTGGGGGTTCTTACCTTCCAGAAAAGTGGGAAAGGGGTTGGGGCATGGATATAAGGGGTTGGGGCACAGAGATAAGAGGTCGGGGCATGGAAATAAGGGATGGGGCGCAGAGATAAGAGGTCGGGGTGTGGAAATAAGGGATCAGGGTGCAGAGATAAGAGGTCAGGGCATGGAAATAAGGGATTGGGGCACAGAGATATAAGAGGTTGGGGCACAGAAATAAGAGATTGGGGCACAGAGATATGAGGTTGGGGTACTTGCCCCTCCTCTAGAAAAGTGGGACTTGCTGCTAAGAGTGAAGGAGAAGGGGTTGGGGGTTTCTTGCCCCCCAGAAAGGTGGAGAAGGGGTAGAGACCCAGAGAGAAGGGGTTGGGGTACTTGCCTCTTTCCCAGAAAAGCGGGACTTGCTGCTAAGAGTGAATGACCAAGGCAGGCATCCCTTCGTGGTCTGACACCTCTGAAACCTGGGTGAATAATCAGAGAGGCGTCCCTGCAATGATTAAACACCAAGGGAAGGCTGCCTTCCTTAGTCCATGACCGGCGCCAGAGTTTTGGGTCCACAGATAAAACACGTCTCCTTTGTCTCTACCAGAAAATGAAAGGAATTGAAATTAAGAGAAGGGAGAGATTGAAGAGTGGAAAGGAGAAAGTGGTTGAGGGACAGTGAGAGAGGTTGGAGAAGAGAGTAAGAAGAGGCCGCTTACCCGATTTAAAATTGGTGAGATGTTCCTTGGGCTGGTGGGTCTGAGGACCTGAGGTCGTAGGTGGATCTTTTTTACGGAGCAAAGAGCAGAAGGACAGGGGATGGATCTCCCAAGGGAGGTCCCCTGATCTGAGTCACGGCACCAAATTTCATGCGCGTCCATGTGAAGAGACCACCAAACAGGCTTTGTGTGAGCAACATGGCTGTTTATTTCACCTGGGTGCAGGCGGGCTGAGTCCGAAAAGAGAGTCAGCCCATGTTTCTTATCTTTAGGATACATTATGTTTCTGGGATATTTGGGGTTTATGGTTTTCATGAAGCTTAGAAAGCTTTCATCCAGTATGTTTTAAATATTTTTCTATCCCTCTTACCCACTCCATTCCCTTCAGGGATTCCATTTACCCCTACAGTAGGGTATTTAAAGATTTCCCACTGATGGGCTTTTTATTTTTTAAATTCATTTTTCTCTGTGTGTTTCATTTGTGTTAGTTTCTACTGCTATTTCTTCTAGTTCATTAATATTTTCTTCTGCAATGTTCAATTCAGTGCATTTTAAAAATTTCAGACTGTAAACCACAGTTTGCACTTATGAAGTTTGATATTTAAAAATATCTCCAACATCTTCACTTAAATAAAATTATAACTGCTCTAATGTCCTTGTCTTCTATTTTTAATGTGTGTCATTTTCAACTGAATTATTACATTCTTCATTATGTTTCATGTTTTCCTTCCTTTTTGCCTGTTTGAGATTCTGGGATTTGATGCCAGACATTTGATGTTGATGCCCAAATGTGCCCAGTGACACAACTTGGCCTCAGTTTCTATGCATACCCAAGCTTGTTCAGCAGGAGTGGTAGAGACACTATGACAAATGAAGTGTCCTCTGGAGATTTCTGGTGAAGAGAATGAATGGAGTAACTGGCAGAAATTAGAGGTCCTGATAGAACAAAATAGAATCCCAGAATGAGAACACACACCATGCATGTCACTGAAAGCAAGACAATGTTTCCTAAAATCTCAAGAAAAAATCATTTTTGGTAAGTACCTTATATCAAGTGAGGTGTCCATGTACCAAGGCAGTGGGAAAAGTTTATTAAGGATGCAAAAGTCAGTGAGACCTGATTCTCTCATGGAGACATTGTTAAGGATGAATGATACTCAGTAAGTGATGCCTAGGACATGCACTTTTGAATAGCTCATGAGCATCAATGTATTTAATTGCAGATCTAAACCAAAAACCAAGGTGGGGACAAGGTGGGAGACATAGGCTGTCCCTGGTATATGTTTGGGTTGAAATAACACTATCAGAAATGGCAGGTAAAGAGGTCAGAGAAGACAAAAATAATTTCTTTGATTGTTACAGTGGTAAAAATTTGAAGTTGACAGATATAATTTAAAATTTATAAACCAAATATTAGAAATGTGTCAGGTTAAAAGGGGACTACTGATGTCAAAACCTTTTTAGTGCAATGTTAAACAGGATCTATACAACCCTTCCTAAATAACAAACAAAAGGCACACACACACATGCACACACACACAAACAAAACAAATAACATTGACAAAGAAATACAGTAAATACAATCTACTACATATGGTAAATAAGACTAAAATATGGAATACTTTAGAATATAAACAGGTAAATAAGAATGTTTTTATTAATCTATATTCTTATCCATGAAAACCAATAATAAAATAAAAGCTTAAAACATTGTATGTGAAAAATTCACTAGTCCAGGGTGATAGGCAAAAAAATTTAATTAAAGTGATTTAAAACTTTAACATTTTAACTTTAATGGACTAAAATTAATTTTGGATGAAAGTCAAACTTTGGGCAGGGAATGTTCCTTTTTACGACAGAATGCCAGCAAAAACAAGTACATAGTAAAATTTTGAGAAGACAATTTCCAATGTAAAAACATAAATATAATAACTGACACAGGCAGGGGTGATTAATTGATGATAAAATACTCAGAAGAAGATTGTTAGAATACAGGATATTTATACTATTTCAAACCACTTTCCAATTTAATTATAAATAAGGTGTCTTTACAAGGGACAGAGCTCCTAGACCCCTCCTTGACCAAGTGAACATCCTAGTATCACCGCACTGGGGATGGACACACTGGGCCTTCTCTGCCTGCAGATGGGCTGAGGTAGGAAGCTCACAGCATGGACTCTGCAGAGTTCCTGGTAAAATGTTTAGGCTGAATTTAATCATGACGACATTTTCAGATAACTTCAGAATGTAGACCATTGAGCCAGAGAGCTGACCCGTCCTCCACAAACAAGTCCATGTCACCACCATTGATGACAACAACAAAAAGATAAGGAGATGTTTTGGGTTCAAAATGACTAAAAAAGCATAAGCTGCATAGGCTTTTTACTCTTTTTGAACTCAAAATGTCTCTTCTCCTTTTTGTTGTTTTCTTGGTGGTGACATGGACTGTTTGAAGGAGACATGTCAGTTGTCCTGTTCAATGTTCTACATTCTGCAGTTATCTGAGGGTTACCTCCTATGAAACTCAGGCTAAACGTTTTCAGCAAGAACATGGCATTGCTCATACTCTGCCCTGGCAGAGTCCCGGCTGACATGCTGTCTCCTGCCAGCAGCTGCGGA
Organism: Homo sapiens; assembly: GCF_000001405.40. Lineage (NCBI taxonomy): Eukaryota > Metazoa > Chordata > Mammalia > Primates > Hominidae > Homo > Homo sapiens. The sequence goes on along the minus strand of NW_017852928.1, from coordinate 482,755 downwards.
CTCCTGTTCTCTACATGATGGGAATTGAGAAACAGGGCTAATGCCAGTCAATGCTATTTGTCCATCTGGGCATTGGTCTCCCTAGGTATTGATCACAATTGGAGGGGGATGGAATGTGGCTTCTCAAATCAAAGGAGCATAGTGGCTTGAAGTCATCAAGAGTATTCTGTGTCTGAAATTCAATCCTCAGTGAAGGACCCCTGCAATATTGTGTTTGGACTTAAACTTGCTTTGCTGTTTTAGTTGTTTTTATCAAGTGGAAAAGCTGCTTTTTGTGACATTCTTTCATCCTATCATCCTTTGCATCCTTTCAGCAGTATTTGGTATCTGTAGGGGAGAGAGAGAAAAAAAATCAAATGAGCATTTTTGTCAGGTCCACCTGATGGCTGAGTCTGGAGGGATTGCTAAGCAGTGATATCTCACTGGGATCTCCTGCTGGGAGGATGAGCTGAAGGGTGAGTCCTGGGCTGTCAGAAGGGGGAAGCACCATCCACAAGTGAGAAGAAAACACTCCTGAACTTCCAGTCAGCCTGGGGTGCAGGATATAAGGACCCCACCTATGCCCAACCAGCAGTGGGCAACATCATCCCCTTTCCTCCTGATCCCCTCTGTCTGGAGCAGAGTGATGGCTTTTCCTCCCAGTGAGCATGTACTCAGCATCAATCATGCATGCCAAGAAACAGAGGGGAGCAGAAGGACAGGAGCCTCTGCAGAGAAACCCACCCCCTTACAACTCCATGTCCTAGTCTTCTAGGGAGGAGCGGGAGGGCCATGGGAAGAACCCTGGATATGAGAAGCAGCAGAAACCTCAGACAACATCCACGTCCAGGTCCACATTTTACAACAGAGGAGTAGTGATGCCACAGGGGTAAGATGGAACTAAGGCCACATGACTTGCTATTGACAACCCAGGAATTAGAATCCACCCACTAAGGCCTTTCAATAAAGATTGGAGAAAGCGAGAGGAAAGGCTCCAATCTGGAGGTCTCAACAGTCATGAGTGGTGGTTGGGTCACCTTGGCTAGGACAGGAATAAGGTTTTACAGATAAATATGATGGTGCTGCTGTTTCTTTGGTTGGTTAAAAAAATAAAAAATATATATAATTATAAGTTTTTGTCCAAAGGTCATCAGGAAAGAAAGGGAGTTTAAAAAAAGAGACTCAAAATGGAGTTAGCAAAGTGAGAAAAGGGACTGTAACCATGGCCCAACTTATTTTCCCTAATGCCCTGATGTTGATTCCACATCCGGTTCCACCTTAAGGCATTTCTAGAAATATTCTCAATATCTAGACCAAGAAAACTCTGAAGTACAAAGTGAAAAGGATTAGTTTGTGTTTTACTACAGTCTCCCGTCCCGCTTATTGTTTTCCCCAAGTACATTATGAGAAAGGTTTCTTTTTAATATTTTATGCCAGTGTGAAGAGAGGCATGAAGAAGTATTCATATACAATCTCTTGCAGCATTTCAGTCTTAATTTGTTATTGTATGCTCTTCAGGACAGGGGGACCAATGAGTTCTCTTTGGGGATTTTGCAGAAGGACAATAATTGACCAAAAGTAAAATTTTCACATTGCAGTGGTGAGACCATTGGTGGGCTATAAAATGGGTGTGGGGAAATGTAAACTGGAAGTTTTATTTTAAAATGCAAAAGAAAATACTAAATTCCACTATATGTAATATGGCAGGTATTATTTCCGTACATTAGGTGTTAATATCATGACTATTTCTTACTTATCTTGTATTCAAAATTCAGCAAGTGTGCTTCAAGCAGAGGCTAAAAGTCTAATCTATTAATTTTCTTGTTTTTCTTCTTGATTTTTTTCTATGCTATACGAAGAGTACTATTGAGAGGGGAATACAGATCCCATCAAAGTCTGATAGAGGCTCAGCCTTTTCTGTGGAGTAGCCACACATATGTGGCACTTCCATGTTGGTAACCTGAGGTCATAGTAGACCAGGGGTCCTTCTCGTCTTTAGCCACATATTAGAATCACATGGGAGCATTTTGAAACTACAGATGCTCAGACCACACCCCAGGCCATGTAAGTGAGCATCTCTAAGTGTAAGTTGAAGGCATTCATCTTAATTGAAATCTCACCGGGTGCTTATTACATGGCAGCAGGATTTAGAGATACTAAATGGACCAGCCCAATTTCCCATCATTTTCTTTCCTTTCCCCATTTATCTCATGACTGGCTTTGTTCCCAGTGGTTCCATGGATTTTAGCCTTCTCTCTGACAATTTCAGTTAAATCTCTGTCTTATCAATTGGGCTGCACCGAAGCAAAGACTGTCCTGTAGACAGATTCCTGTCATCTAGTGTATGCATAAAGCTGGTCCTGGAGTCACTTTTCTCAAAGTTAATTCATAAAATGCTCTCTCATATACAATGGCCTCAAGATTCATCTGACTTGCATTTCAGACCCTTAACTGGACTTGAAAAGTGGAAATGAGAATAAAAAGGAGAGAGGTTAGAATGACGTACCTCATGATGTATGCAGTTTTCAAGTCCTGCCCTCTGCATGTACTTTTGGAGTGATGTCCCTTTAGAATGTCATAAATGTTCCCCAGTTAACATCAGCTCAAGTGAGTCCATGAGGTGAGAACACTGAGACCCTGGCAACTCCATCCACGTTGGCACTAAGCTGCACATCTGGGGCTAAAGACAAACCTGACTCCAGGCCAGCAGGGAACTCCCACCTGTGACCCTGGTTCTAGTTTAGTTTCCTAGGGGGGCTCTTAGTGCTTAGTTTTAACACTTCTCATTCAGAGGAACAAGTGATGATTAAGAGTTGAATTAGTTGTGTTGCTCAAAAGAGGACTCAAGAGGAAAATCTTCGTGTAAATGACGTATTAAAGCAATGATTTCTACACAAAGAGGCAATGGAGTTGGGGATGCAGCAAGGAAAGGTAAATTTCCCAAAGGAGTGTGTGATTCCGGGCAAACAACCCTGTGTTCAGCAGCTTAAACTATGTACTTGGATGGGGACAAGGAGGCCTGGCTCTCCTGTGGCCATGAGAGGGACTCTCAAGACAGTAGAAAAAGGAATAGAGCAGAGTTCAGAGAGTAAAGAGAAGATGGGTAGAGAAGGGGCCAGTCAGGGTGGGAGCCCATGGGACACAGAGCTAAGACCAGACAGAGGTTAGAGCAGCTGTTGGAGAGAACAAATGGGAGAGAAAAAGCAGTGAGAGAATGAGCTGTCACCATAGACAGAGAAATAAGAAGTGAGTGCAGCTATCAGCCATAGATGTGATTACCTCTGCACTCTCAGCATGCGGGCCAGCGAATCTGAATGCCAGTCTCCACTTGCTGAACGGGAGTCTTCTTCTGATGGTCTTCAGTATCAGGACAAGGGAGGCACGAATCCGGCCAGTGACTTGACGCCCTTGTGTGTTGCTTGCTGAGCCTTCAAGTGCATCATCTTCCAGCTGGGGAGGGTTCTTCATCCCCAGAGAGGGCTCTAAAACCAGCTCTGAAAAGAAAACCACAGCCAATGGGATCCGCTGCCATCCATGATCTTACCGTAACTTTCTCTTCCACCCAGAGGACATCAAATCAGGAAAGAGCCTTGGACAAGAAAGTCCAAAGGGCGAGGGGAAGCCGATAGAGTCACTTTAATACTTTCTTTTTTGTTGATCTTTCCTACATTACTCAGTAACGACAAGATTGCCAGGATCCAAAGGCACTGCCAAGTCACAAAAATATTCCAGAAACATAGGATTCAGAAACACAAATAGCTTCCAGGTAGATAAGGCAAAGGCAAGGAAATAACACTGTATGTAGGCTATGCTTTGGGGAGAGAAGAGATTACAAAAATCAAAGTTAAATAAGAACTGGGTTCAAACAGGAGATGGGAATGGAAGGGCCTGGCAGGGTGGCAGCCCATGTGGCACAGAGGTGAGACCAGACATAGGTGACAGCAACTGATGAGAGGAAAGAACCAGGAAGACTAAACCTAGAGAATTTACAAAAGTTGCATCATTATATGATCTACTGCATATATATATACACCCTATATAGCATACACACCAGATATACATAGTCACACGTAATAGGACAAATGATACACATGCATGTATCTGTACACATTAATTTAAAGAAAAAAAATATAGGGATTTGGGAGGGATTGAATGTAAGAGTAGAGTCACTATTCTGGTCCATCGAAATTGGAAAAATAATTGGAGACATGAGAAGAATGAGAAAGAATAGGTATGGGAGAAACAAATGACCTGGTAGACAGCAGGGAGAAATCACCAGGTGAAGGAAAGTGTTAATGAAACGAAAGGCGTTCAGTCTGTCCTCTTACCTGGAGCCTGGTTCAGGCTCTGGACTCCAGGGAAAGTGAGCAAGAGGGAGTGTGTCTGAGCCAGTGGGGTGAGTCTTGGCTGGGGGTGTGAGAATCCACAGAGAAGCAAAAGAGAGTTCAGTGCTAAGAAATCAGTCTAAATAAGTTATCATGGCATGTGTCAGGGACTGCACATCCCCCGACACTCCCGGAGCACCTTCCATGTGTCCTCTCCACTGGCCCAGATGGTGCTCATTATCTCACGCAACCCTCCCTCCCCCTGAGGACAGGGGTTCCCTCATTCCTCAGCTGAGGGCATCGCCTGACAGATGAGCACCAGGCAGCCCCAGGGGCTCCAGGAGGAGATATTGAGTGGGATGGAGAGTGAGAATGAACACGACCCAGGATTTTAAGGTAATCTGAGCAGAAATGGATCCCTGTGAGACAGAAACCGAGGACATGGCCACGGACATGAGTGGAGAATGTGAACTAAATGGAATTTCATAAAAGAGACTGATGTGAACACTTTCCATGTGAAAGTTGCCCTTTTATTTCAAAAAAAGCAGAAAAAACAGCAGAAGCAGCTGGACACGTCAGGAGACTGAGTGTGGGCCCAGGATTTACACTGTTACTCAATGTGCCTCATAGGTTGTTATTGAAAGTGCCTGACAGGGGAAAATTGGCTTCATGAGGGATGGAGAAGGAGAGGAAGAAAACTGGCAGAGGAGTCTGTGTGAGAAAGGAAAGGAAGAGGGGTCCTAGAAAGCAGAGATCTTCATAACTGCTCTACCTCAGAGGAGACATCATCCGTGAAGTCACTTGCTAAGTGTAAATTTAGCAGAAAGATAAAAGGATTAGATAACACCTACTCATAGGTTTATTGGGCAATTCTTATGGAATCAGGCCCTTTGGAAATTATGATTGCAGGTAGATATTATTCTTCAGGTATCTTAGATGAGGGAACAGAGATATAAAGAGCAAAAAGACAAAAACCTTGGCCAAAGTCAACAAGCAGAAAGTGGCAAACCCAGGTCCTGAGAGCAGATTCGGTCCTAAGCTCCAGGCCTTTGCTCACCTCACTGGGTTGGAGCATCATGGATTTCAACTTGACCCTGAGGAAGCATGGGAGGCCCCATTCTCTCCTCCACCCACAGCACCGTCGTGACCACCAACACCTGGATTAGAGCTTCATGACGCCGTTTCCTTCCCTACCTTGGAAGGGCCATTGGTTCCCAGAATCAGCATTGGCTGAGAAGCTGCAGGTGGTGGAGGAAAGGCCCCGCTGGGCCAAGCCGTTCCCACAGTGGAACCCTTGATCCAGCTGTAGTCGCAGACAACTGGGCACCAGGGTGCTTGGTTCCAGCTGTGCCTGTGAAACTTGCACCTCTGACTGGTGGTGGCTCAAGTCTCCACTCCAAGTCCCTTGGGGACAGGCCGCCTCGGTGGGGGCTGAAAGGAGAAGGGGCTTCAGTAGGAACAATCTCAGTTTTCCCTTTGTTAAGTCATCCCAGAACACCCATCCCTGATGTCCCTGCTCTCAGTAAAGCCACCCAGTGACCCACGCCACACAGACAGACATCATGTAAATGCAGGTGACGTCACCTCTCCTGCCTGTGCCTGGGGACGCTGACACGGTAGGGGCCCAGGCTGGGGTGTCCCTGAGGTGAAAAACCTCTGCTTCAGCCCAGAGGGCTTTGGATTGTCTAACAAGACCATCCCGATTATTCTGTTACTATTCATCTCTTTCCTGTGCCCAGAGGGAAAGTTCTAGAGAGGCCTCAGAGCACAGGAGAGGAATGGTTATTTTTCTCCACACACAGGGGTGTAAGAACGGGTCAAGGGTTAGAGCTGCGAGGCTTTGAGAAAGAACCACGAAAAAGGGGGCTGGGATGCTACAGACCAAACGCTAAGTGAGGCAAACTTTTCTGGGTTCGGGGACATTTTGAATTTCCCATTGACTATAATGGTTTGACCCCCTACCCACACATATCCATCCTCTTGCCATATAGTGGGTGTCAGCAGACATAGGCAATGTAGGAGAGGGACCAGTCTCTTCCTGCAAATTCAGGGGCCACAAGTGCTACAGATCAGCATGTGCGGTTCCTTAGGAAGGCAACACAGGACACGATCCTCACATTACCCACTCCTCCAGTGGGGTTCGGGTGGCACCCCTTAAACAAATTGTTTCCATTTCCACAGGGAGAGGAATACACGTTCTGAGTGGACTAAGAAAAGACTTCCAATGACCTCACGCCAGTCCAGGTCGGTCTCAAGATGGGGACGGGGCCTGCAGACTGGATCCACGTTGCTGTGGGGCTCCTCTCTCTCCTCCCCTCTCCACATCTTCATTCTCTCCAAGGTTTTCTAAGTTTTCTTAAAAATGCCTCATTGTTCTCAGCTCCAACATGGAGATGCCACTGCCCACTTGGGCGTGTCCCTTGATCCCTGAATGGTTTATAGCAGGACAGAGCTTGCTTGCAAAGGGGCAGGGCATACAGCAGGTGCAAGGTCAGTGTGTATTCTAATTGTTTCATGAATCACTGTGATGCTAGAAAAGCATTTGCTTTTTTGAAACTCAGGGAGAAATGCAAAATGGGAAAGGGGCTGGTCCCAGTATGAAAGGCACTTGCAAGGTCAGTGTGTATTCTAATTGTTTCATGAATCACTGTGATGCTAGAAAAGCATTTGCTTTTTTGAAACTCAGGGAGAAATGCAAAATGGGAAAGGGGCTGGTCCCAGTATGAAAGGCACTTACCAAAATAGAATAGAGGCCAACATTTTTGTTGCTAGTTTCTTTCTTTGTGTGTGTGTGACACAGGGTCTCACTTTGTTGCTCAGGCTGGAGTGCAGTGGTGCAATCGTGGCTCACTGCAGCCTCAACTAACCAGGCTCAGGTGATCCTTCCACCTCAGCCTCCCAAAAAGCTGGGACTACAGGTGTGTACCCCCATACTCTGCTAATTTTTTTTTACAGATACGGTTTCACCATGTTACCCACACTGGTCTCAAACTCCTGAGCTCATGCGATCCACCTCCTTAGCCTCCCAAAGTGCTGGAATTACAGGCATGAATCAACACACCTGGCATTTTTGCTAATCTCGTTACAACATAATCCAATATACTGGGGGACATCACAGAGTTCCTTGCTCTTACTAGAAGATAATGTAATGGGTAAAACCCCCAACAATCCACATGAAATTCCCAGAATTGAAGTAAAAAAAAAAGAGAATGAGCAAGAAGAAATGAAAATTGGATTTTCTTTTTACACATCCTGTGAAGCTGCTATCTCAAGGGGCGATTGCTCAGAGGAAGGGTTTTCTGGACCTCATGGGGACAGGAACCACTCTGCTTTGCTCATCAGTTAGGCCAGAGCCTCATGAGGGACACTAGTTGTCGATGGTTTTCATGAGAATAGAGCACTGAGACCAAAACTTGATTGACACTACAAACCCACACATGGAGAAAACCACTGGAGCTCTGCAGAGGATGCAAGCCCGGCCACACATAAAGGAAGGGTCGCTGGACTGCGTCAGTGGAGGGAAGACACCTCAGAGGAAGTAGAGCCGCAGTCCCAAATCTTTTTGGCACCCGGGACTGGTTTCATGGAAGACCATTTTTCAGGCACCAGGTTGGGGGGGATGGTTTTGGGATGATTCAAGCACATTCCATTTACTGTGCACTTCATTTCTATAAACATTATATTGGAATATATAATGAAATAATTATACAACTCACCATAATGCAGAATCAGTGGGAGCCCTAAGATTGTTTTCTTGCAACTAGATGGTCTCACCTGGGGGTGACAGTTACTGGGAGACAGTGACAGATCATCAGGCATTAGATTCTCGTAAGGAAAACACAATCTAGATTGCTGGCATGCACAATTCACAATAGAGTTCGAGCTCCTGTGAGAATCTAATGCCACTGCTGATCTGACAGGAGGTGGGATCCAGGCTGAAATGCTCTCCCACCGCTCACCTCCTGCTCTGCGGCCCAGTTCCTAACAGGTCATGGACCCATAATGGCCCATGGCCCCAGGGCTGGGGATCCCTGGAGAAGAGAATCTAGCTTGGGACACAGGAATCATGAAACAGGCCTCCAAATAATTGGGCAAAACTCCCAACATATGTGGATGGCCAGAGAAGAGATAAAGACATGGAATTAGCAAGATAATTTCAGAAAAGAGAGATGCCCTATCTTAAAGAAGGAGGGCTGTTACATAAATTTCTCCAGCTGAGCTACTGTGGCCAGGAATTTGCCATAAGCCCTCACCACTCCCTTCTCTGGCCTGTTTTGATAGCCAAAGCCTGCTCCTGTGAGAAGGAGCCAGGTGACAGAGGAGGCACTTGGAACAGGAGAAGAGGAAGTTCTACCCAGTGGATGTCTGTGCTTAAAACTGGATCCAAGAGCCAGATTCAAAACAAGCTCAGTGTATAGAGCCTGCTGCAGAGATGGTCTGTCTCAGCTGCACAAGTTGCAGGAAACAAAACATACAGAGGCTGCCTGGGAGGACAGTGGAGCTTTGTGATCTCCAGGGTGAAGTACTCACAGGCTACATCCAGAGCAGAGCAGGCAAGCTGATCCTCCAATGAGGACAAGGTGCTGCTATAAGGCTGGTGGCAGTCAGACACGTCATGGTGAACTGAGGGAGTCAAGTAAACTTCATTCACAGAGTCCTCTGGGACTTCCTGCTCCTTCACCTCTGGCAGCTCCTGGCTGAGCCTGGGGTAAAGAAGACAGAAGATAAACACCAGAGAGAACCAACACCCAGCTGGTTCTATAGGGAGGCCCTTAGGAAGGCCCAGAGGAAGCAAAGTACATTCCCCTGAGAGAGATACAACCATCCTTCCCTGTCTCGAGTAGGAGACAGAGCACGACAGGCTCTCAGTGCACTGGGCAGGCAATGAGCTGGGGAGGAAGCAGATGGAGTGATCCCTGTGGGGAACTGCCAGGACACAGTGCATTTGGCACTTTTGCATCCATTTTGTTGAAATTAGCGTCAGTGGCCAAATGAATACAGGCTCTTGAGTCTTCACAGAGTTCCTGTATCCTCAACAGCTCTTGTTCTCAACATTGTAGCATGGCATGATTTATTTTCATTCACTTCCCTGCTATCGAATACTTGCAAACATGGTAATGCCAAAGAGGCAGACATCAGATGTGCAACTCAACTTCACTTTAAGCAAAAAGGACAGAAAAGGGGACTGCAGAAAATGTCTGTGAGTGATCAGTTCAACAGAGTCAACTGAATGCAGATTAGACGAATTGAAAGGAATTAATAAGGAGGAACTAGAAATACAGGTGTACAATGAAAAGAGTCAACCTTATGAATATGGCATTTCATGGTTGGCTGAACAGATGGAACAGGTATATTCAGCACACTCTGATTTTCCCTGCATCTGAGACTCCAGATATCAACACTGAATTAACTGTTCAGGATTCCTCAGAGTTACCTGGGGCATGGTGGGCTTTGGTCTTCTATCTCCTCTTGATCCTTTTTAATTTCTGTAAATAAATTCACAAAGGGACAGACAGATTAAGCAGGTTCTCCTACACACATAAACAATCCACTGTGCAATCCTAACACAGAAATGTCAGTTTCCTCAGTGGGAGAACAGGACACTGTGAGAGAAATATTCCAGGAGGCCTGAGGTCCTGTCATGAGAGAGATGCCTTGGTTTTCTTCCCTGGGCCTAGGAATGCAATCTCCCTGTTCTGGTAGATCATTATCCCAACATCATCTGTCCTGATTTTGTGCAAACAGTTATGCAAATTTTTCACACCAGTTGAAGGCAAATACCCCAGCTGCTTTCTAGAAGGAAAACTGCAATATTCAGCTTTCAATCATCAAATACTCACGTTGTTCATGGTTACAAGGATTTTAGACACTGAAACTAGAATGTAGGAGGGAATCTACAGACCCTTGAATGAAAATGAATCTTTGGTTCAATACAAAGAGACATTGGCTATTCGTGACATCTAGGAGTGACAAGGCCCAATCTTGTTTCTAGAAACATAACAAAAGGTAATGGACTGCTCAGCTAAAACAGGATAACATCAAAGACATAGAGAATGAGGCTAGGTTCTTTGAAACCTGGGTAATATCTTTAATGAAAAGTAGACAAAAATGCCACAGGCATTGGGCAGGCATAGAATCTCACAGGACATGGTTGGGGAAAGGAACTTGTAAGGAACACGATAGCTGGCAAGACAAATCTTATTCAGATTAAGAGGCCTGACAGACACCTGTTGGGCACGTGCTGCATAGGTTGGTGTGAATTTGTCAATGTCGTGACAGTGGGCGCAGGGTGACACAGGCATGGTCTGAGATGAGGAAGAGAGCAAAGCTCACTGACCCACCCCTGTCTGTGCTTCCAACTTGATTTTTGATGCTGATGCAAATCATCCTGTGTCTGTGAGTCACGCCCACACCAATGACACATCTCAGTCCAGCCAGGGATGTGAAGTGCAAGGATTACGGAGTCTACCTGGGACACCAATTGGAGATTTATCATGTTCACAATGGAGTACTCACTGTCTACAAGAGCCAAGCTGACTTGCTTGTCTTCAAAAGAGTACAAAGTGCTCCAATAAGGGTGGTAGGAGGGAGTCAGGTCAGGAAGGATGGAAGGAGTCAAGCAACATCCATCCAGTGACTCCTGGGGGATTTCATGCTTGTCCACTCTCAGCGGTCCCCTGCTGAGCCTGTAGGGTAAGAAGGACTAAAGATTAATCCAAGGAGTTTCAGAGCCCTAGCTGGATTTCACGTGAGGCATGAGGGAGTGATCGCAGAAAACAAATGGGTCAACCCATTAAACAGTTAAATATTCTCCTCTTCTTGGTGGGCACAGTGTGGTTGCCATGGGTAGGTTGCAATACAGAGAGAGGGAAAGAGAGAGATGAGAGAGAGAGAAGCATCAGGTGCTCAGCAAAGTAGCCAGATTATGATTTTCTGAGGAAGGAGACTGAGTCTCTCTGTATGGTAGAGTCGTGACTTACTGAATATCATGTCCCATAACAGTGGTTTCATTCCTTTCTTTTAAATGATGTTAAATTTTATGTGTAGTGGCCAAGTAAACATAGGTTTTGAGGCATAATCGTATCCCCGAAATCGCATGGCATCAAGTCCTCTTTCTCTCAATATTGTGCATGGTATAACAATAATTTTTTCTACCTAATTTCCTTGCCTTGAAATGCTCACCACTGTGCTAATGCAAAACCAGCAGAAAGCAGATATGCATCTCAGGCTGGTTGACACCATAAGAAGAGTATACTTACTTTAAGGAAATCTGTGTGACTGATTAGTTGTTCACAAGGTCAAGTGGTTTGATGTACTGAACTTGAGAAGTTAATAAGAAATGGCAAACATTAAAAGTTTCACAATGAAAATGTAAAACATGGTTAAAAAAGATCATTTCTGGTTGGCTGAAGGGATGAATTAGGTATATTCAGGACTTTCTGGTTTTCTGTGGAGATGAGTTTCACAGATATCACCCCTGAATAGACAGCCCCTGATTTTTCTCAATTACCTGGGAGCAACTGTTTCTTGTCCTTTCACCTCTTCAAGATCATTTTGCTTTTCTGTAAATAAATTAAGAGAAGACCAGCCAGGTGAACCTGATCACATTCACACATGCACAACCTTGTGTCCAAATCTTCATAGGGGCATAAATATACGCAGTGCGAGAACAGGCTATTGTGAGAGAAACTTTCCAGGACGTCTCAGGGTGAGCCTTGTGAGAAGTCACTAGGTTTGCTTTCCTGAGTCATGGAGCAAATCTCCCTGATCTGACAGGTCATCATCACAGTCCCTTCTGTCTTGAGTCACAGCAAACTGTTAACCATATCCTGTTTACTAACAGATCCTGGGGATCTACTTTAATGCTTCCTAGCAGGTTACTGCAGTATTCAGCATGTTTCCTTCTGATAAGCTGTTGTCAGTGTTTTTGTAGAATTTGCATTTAGAGGGACAGATTAAATCAAAAGAATCTCTAATGCTACATGGAAACATTGGCCTTTCATATGGCAGGGAGTTCCAGGGCCCGGCCTCCTTTCAGAGAAACATACAAAATTTAATAGTGGTGTTCATGTTCTGGTACTCAGAGACTTCTTAGCTAAGACAAGCCTACTAAAAGGGGAGGGAGTCTAGCCTGAGAGAAGTGAACGAGGGAAATGACAGCTCCAAGAATATCGATAAGGCTGCCAGTGGCCTTGGACAGGCAGAGAAACTCAGGTTGTTTAGGAGGGAAAATTAGATTTCATGTGAGATGACAGATTAAATCTAAATCAGGAGGACTGGTAGATACATCCTGCACCCAGGCTGCAGAGGTGGGTATGAATTTGTCAGGTCAACCTTGGGTACAGTGATCTGCCAATGGGGCAATGATGAAAGACAATGTGTGGTTTTGGACTAGAATGGAGCACAACTCTGACTTATAGGATGCCTTCCTTCAAACTCAATCCTAGAGCCTGGTTTTAACCAGTATATAAGCATAGAGTCTTCCTGAAGGTATGACATCCGTCACTATGGACAAATCTGGGGTACAAACAATAGGGAGCCTACCGAGGAAGCCAAGTGAGGTTTCATCCCATTTGGGATTGGAGTAATCCCTGGCAACATCCTGAGCGGAGCAAACTTTCTGTTCATCCAATGCCAAGAAAGAGACTTCACGATGCCGGTAAGAGTTGGACTTGTCATGGTGTCTAGAATGAGACAAAACACATTTCTCTGGCAAGTCCTGCAGGACTCCCTTCTCTTCAGAATCCTGCAGCTTTCTGATGAGCCAGGTAGGATAGAACGACAGAAGGTTAGACCAAGACAGATTCAACACCATAGTATCTCAGGTGATTTGATAGGACACAAAGGGTGTGGTCACAGAAAGCAAAGGGGGGTCTCCTCCAAGAGAGAAAAATCTATCCTTCTAAATGTGGGGTGGAGTGTGACTGTCCTGGAGACAGAGCAAACATGAGCAGCAGGTGCTCAGTGCACTTGCCACAAACGAGCGGCTGCAGGAGGACCCAGACTCTCCCTGTAAACTAGCATCAAGCATCATGACTTGCAGCACTGAGAACTAAGCTGGGACTTCACTTCCTTTACACAAATTGCGTTGACATTACATGCAGCATCCAAGTGAACACAGCTCTTGAGGCATTCCCAACGCACAGATCCTGTGTTTTTAAGGTCCCCCTTTTTTTTCAATATTTTGACATAATATGAAATTTTTATTTTTAATTTTCTCGATTGCATTCAAATACTTGCCAACATGCTGTCACAAAACATACAGAAAGCATATATGCATCTCACCCTGGATTAGCCACATGGGAGACCACAGGTGAGATCAGGAAATCCCTGAGGTTGGTCAGTTCACCTGGTTCAAGTGATTGTCGGTTCCTATGCTTGAGAGGGATTAAGAAATTGAAACCTATTCAAGTACCACAATAAAGAAGACAACATTGTTAAAGGGGCAATTTGCACTTGGATGAATGGATGAGACAGTTCTATTCGTCACTTCCTATTTTCCCTTGATCCGTGGTGTCCAGATGTCACTATTGAACTAACAGCCCACAAATCCACAGTTACCTGGGGGGCACTGGCGCTTTCCCCTCCTCCTCCTCATGGTCATTTTGATTTTCTGTAAACAAATTCAGAAGAGCAGGTCACAGTAAGGAAATCACACAAGAGCAAATAAGTGTCCAGTCATAGCACAAGAACATAAATATCCTCAGTGTAAGAATGTGACATTTTGACAGGATCATTCTGACTTATTTTCAGAAGTAGATGTGCCTGCTTTCCAGACCCATAGGACAAAATCTCCCTCATCTGGTAGATCATAATCACCTATCCTCTGACCTAAGTCTGTGCAAACAATTAAACAAAACTTTTTCCCCAAGATTTTCAAAAATTGCCCTAACCACTCTCCAGAAGTGTTGTTGCAATACTGATTTATCTCATCATATATCATGGTCAACGAATGGTTAGAGAAATTTGTATAGGAGACTGAACTGATGGATAAATTCTAACAATCCTTGCATAAAAAAGAGTCTGCGGTGCTACACAGAAACATTGACCGCTCATGGGGTGAAGAACTCAGGGCCCAGCCTCGTTTAGGGAAACTTATAAGCAAGATAAAGGTAGAAGTGTTTATGTCCTGCTTTCAAGGTGACTGCTTAGCTGGGACAAGCTGACCTAAAGGAGACCAAGCCTGGGGCCGAGAACAGTGAATCCAGAGACACATCTCCAATTACATAGGCAAGACTGTCAGTCGCCTGTGACAGGCATAGAAACTCCATGGACATTGTTCAGGGACACAAATCATTATTGCATGTGACAAGAGACATAGGAACCGAGCCAGGAGGCCTGACAGATACCTCCTGTACACAGGTGGCTATGACTTTGTCACACCTGCCTGTGGTCCAGTATGCTAATATTGGGGCCAGGAAGACAAAGTCCATGCCATGGGCCTAGGAGGAGAGGAATGTTCTCTGACCCTCACATAACTGTGTTTAATATTCTATCATAGTTTCTCTCTTTCTTTCTTTCTTTTCTTTTCCTTCTCTCCCTTTCTTTCTTTTTCTTTCTTTCTTTCTTTTTCTTTCTTTCCTCTCTTTCTCTCTCTCTCTCTCCTCTCTCTCTCTCTGTTTCTTTCTTTTTCTTTTTTTGAGACACAGCCTCACTCTGTCACTCAGGCTGGAGTGCAATTGTGGCTCACTGCAGCCTTTACTTCCTGGGCTCAGGTGATTCTCCCGCCTCTGCTGCCTGGGTAGTTGGGATGACAGGCACGCACCACCATGCCTGGCTAGTTTTTCATGTTTTTTGTAAAGATGGGTTTCATCACATTTCCCAAGCTGGTCTTGAACTCCTGAACTCAAGTGATTCACCCGCCTGGGCCTCCCAAAGTGCTGGGATTATAGGTGGGAGCCACCGCCCCCGGCTCCACTATACTTTGTGATTCAAACCAATATGTATGTATACAGTCTGTCCTCAGAATTGATCTTCCTCAGCCTAGACAGAGCTAGGAGGGACAAAGAATAGAGAGGCTACCTGGGGGAATGTTTAGAGCTTCCTCCTCTTCATCATGAGGGTGTTCACTCTCTACAACCAGAGCAGAGTCAACTTCGTGTTCCTTAAATGTGATTTTGGTGCTCCTGTGAGGCTGGTTGGAGTTAGAAGGGTTGTGACTATTTGAACAAGTGACAGCACATTCCTCCAGTGAGTCCTGAGGGACTTCCTTTTCTTCAGTCTTCTGCACCTCCCTGATGAGCCCAGTGGGATAGAGATGACAGAAGATTAATCCAAAAGGCATTGCACCCCAAGAAGTCCTAGGTGGTTTTGAAAGGAGGCTTAAGAGAGTGGTCCCAGAATGCAAAGGAGAGGTTCCTTTTAAGAGGGAACAGGCAATCCTTTTCTGTCTGCAACAGAGCGTGGCTGCCATGGGAACCAGAGAGGAAGACAGCAGCTAGTGATCATTGAACTGGGCAGATAGGAGCTGAGGAGGACGAAGACTCAGCTGTCCCTGTATGGTACAGTCTTGACAGCACACACAGAGAACCAAAAACAGCTGCCACATGGTGTGTCTAAGCTGGGTTGTAGTTAACATACTGTGGCCATGGCTATACAGGCATTTGAGCCATTGTAGACTTCAGAGATGGTGTGCCTTCTAGTTTTTTTAAAATTTTAATATTGTGACATGAAATGTAAATTTTTTTGTCTAGGTACTGTACTTTGTGTTCAACTTTGCTAGGTGCTTCCTATTTCCTCTGCTTGTTGCCTCTCTGCTATTTATCTTTCCTAAAAAGAACCTAAAGACAACAGTGTAGAAAGCAGCTTTACATCTCATCCTGGCTTTCACTACAGGGGAGAACAGGTCTCCTCTGTGTGTGCAGGAAGTACCTAGGGATGGTGAGTTCATCTAGGGTCATGCTTACAGGCACCAGGAAGACAATGGACAAGCACGTTAATGGGGCTATTTCCTTGTTGGGTGAGCACATGAAATCAGTGCACTCTGCAGCTTTCTTTATCCTGCCTCTGGAATCTGTGACTACCTTCACCTCCCTTTTATTCTTTCTGAGACCTTTTTCATATTTTACCACCCATTACCCGCTCCTGATTATTCAATGTTACCTGGGGGCAGGTGATTCCTGTACTTTCTCAACCTCCTCGTCTTTGTCGTCTTCATCCTCATCTTCATCTTCATCATTTTCTGCAAATACAGATGTGTCCATTGAAATATTTCCCATTTCACCCACTGCAAGCACAGTGAGCCCTATGTGCACAGGGACATAAACATCTACATGTATAAGTCCACACTGTGCTGAAAGCTCTCATGTTTTATCTCTAAAAAAATGCCCTGGCATGTTTTCCTGATCCATGAGGCAATGCGTTTCTGATCTGGAGGGTCACCATCAAGATGTGGCCAAATATTGAAAAGACCTTTTCCTCTTCATATCACTGGAGGCTTGCCCAGCCTCTCTCTGAACTTCAGCAGCTGTCTCCCCAATCCTGCCACAGATCTGATTCCCACGCACAGGCTCTGTATCCTGTCACAGTTCGCATTTAGAACCTATATCTTTCTCTTCGAACAGGACAAACAACCTTGTCCCACAGTATTCCATACATTAGGGACTTCATGGGCCCTCCAAGTGGCTTCCACTGTGTTAACCGGGGACAATCTCTCCATGGGGAGTGCTCCAGTCTAAACCACTTCCTACCACCAAATGCCACCACATCAAGTGCCTTCTCCAACACCACACAGCAAGGGGCTTTATCTCATTGTGAAATATAGTCATAAGTGTTCCCACATTTGAATGCAAGAGACAATTTGTTTGCTTTTACAGATTTAGAGACAGAAACCCAGGAAGGATAAATTAATCAGTTGCCCACAGTTGCTAAAGACATTGCTGAAGATAGATCCTGGGAACATTCATTCTTAGTCCAGGGCTCCTTTCACTCTAAAAGCTGCTTCCTGTCACAGCCTCCTTCCTGTTCTTTAAAACTGGACGGATGTTGCCTCTTGCTCTAAAGACCACATTCCATCAAGAAAGGAGGATACATTTGCCATTCTGTAACCTCCACCCCATGGGTTTCCCATCTCTGCTCCCACCCAAGAAATTCTGATCATGTCGTGGCCACAAAAGTTTACTGGAAAGAAACACTACCCATACAATTGTCATTGTGGAGGTGTGGAGGTCTGGGGACTTTCATAAGCCTGAAGCTGTGTGTCATCAGGGCCCATGGCCACCTTACCTGGGCTCAGCTTGTGAACAAGGTGCTCTGCCAGCCTGTGCCCCTCAGCCAGCTGCTCTCGGAGGTCCTGACCCTGGGACTTGTCAGGGTCATCAGGAGTGAGGAGGGTTTTCAGATGCTTGTTCAGCCAGCGGGAGGCATCTCTCCCTTCCCGTAACTTCTCCCGTAACTGGGTCAGCTCTTTTGCCTGAGAGTGAACCAGGGCTTTATACTGCCTAAGGTGAGATAGTAGAGAACATTTAATAATGGAAAGGGATGAGTGATCAGTTCTAATACCGCAACAGAGGTTTCTGTGAGAATGTCCTCAAGGAGACCTCCAAGCAGAAGGTCAGAACATGTTTGGGGAAATGTCTGTGGCCAAGAGAAAGAAGAATATATATATATATATATACACACACACACACACACACACATACATATATACAAACATACACACACATATATATACAAACACACACACACACAGCCTTCTGATATATGAGAGAGTGCTTCTGTAATATCCTCGCAGATGTTCCATTCATCTTTTTCTTCTGTAAACAAAAGTTAGTGTCTTCCTAAATCAGTTCCACAAGGATGTCCTTTCAGTTCCTCACTTTGGCCATGGGCATCTCTATGTGAAAATTCACATAGCGCATCTTGCAGTGACTAGATACAAAGCCATGCACAGAAATGTGGCCAGGTGCAGATGGGGTGAATTGGAAAGATGAAAGAAGAAAAGAATGACAGTGTTAAGAAGGCAATATTGATTGAACAAATGAAACGCCACAGTCAGTCAAGAGGTGATTCTGACTAAGAGTAAAGGTGGTGGTGATCGCACACCATTCTGAGTATCCTAAATGCTTCTGAGTGGTTCACTTTTTTTGGTTTATTTTGTGTTATGCAAATTTTACCTCAACAATCAGTGGTTTTAAGAAGAGAAAACAAGGCTTAAGAAACAACTACAACCCATAACTTACTAAGATGACTGTTCTCTGTTTTATAAATATTTGTGTGACACGTGCCTGCCATGTAAATGCCTGCCGTTGTCCTGGCCCAGCTCAGCTCTTAGTTCTCCCAGCTGAGTTGCTGCACTTCAGAGATTCACACCCCTGCCCATCTGCCTGCCCCCAATGGGGCCCGCTCACCTGAGCTCCTCAGCTTGCCTGAGCTTCTCTGCCAGCTTCTCCATGGACTGCAGTTCATCCCTCAGCACAGAGTCTATGATGTCTTTGTACTCTTCACACTCTGAGAAAAGACAGACACGCCTGCCTCAGTGGAAGGTGGGACATGCTGCTGGGGTCACTGTCTATAGGGCAGGCGGCAGCATCCATCCCAAGGACGAAAGCAGCTCCAGTACCAGGCTCCAGGCAGGCATTTCCACATCTTTATTTATCAACCTCCCAACTTTCTGGCATCTGATACTCCCCAACTCAGGGATGGGGAGAAAGAAACACAAGGGCACATCAAGTAACTTGACAAGATGATTCACCTGGAAGAAGGCGGAGTCAGAATTCACAGCCCCTGAGGTCTGATTCTGAATCCTGGGCCACTTTCCCAAGCCTTGCGGCCTCTCCTGTAAAACACTGCACTGGTGCATGAAGTAGTGATTTTCTATACAGTCAGGAAGGCCCTAGGACTATGGGACCCAAAGTTTCCCTTGTACTGGGAATTTCAAGTGCGAATATGTCAAACATTTAAAAAATCATATCTGGATATAATTGCATAAAATATGAGGCACAAGACCGTGAGGCTATAGTAGAAATATGCCCAAATACTAATAAAGTTTGAATTAAGTTAGAAATAGTAGAATGAAGAACTAATAGATAGTGTTTACTCTGTTCCAAGAACTGTTCTAGGAAATTTACAAGAAATAGGTCATGTAATTCATTGCAGTAATTTACAGAGGTAGGTATTATTATAGTACTCAATGAGCAGATGAGGAAACTGAGGCACAGAGAAGATAGGCAACTTGGATGGAGCCCAGGAGACTGGCCCAGGGTCCCTGCTCTGCACACTACACTGCTACCTCTACAATGTCTCATGTGCCATCTTTCTTCCTCTTCAGGAATAAGAGCCTGTGCCCCAGGAAGCAGCACTTCCCTCTCACTGGGACACTCCCTGCTTTGAAGGGTGTCACAGATATCACAGTTTCTGTTAGGGGCAGTCTCCTCTTTAAGCTCCTTAGAGTGGGTACTCTGTACAGTTGCCATGTTTCCCCCAGGGTCCTCTGGATGAAGCTTTGCCTATTGGGCCTCAAAGAAGCTTGAACTGAATGGAAGTTCATTAGTCCCAGACATTTAGACCAACAGACTAGATGTTACTTGTCTGTAGAATCTTATATGGTACAGAGAGGATTCTCATAAACATGATTTAGCCTCTTACTGAGGAAAACAGGTGGTTCTGTGCCTGTGTCAGAAGACAATAAGTAGGATTTTAAGTCTAGTCCCACCTCACACCAGACTGCCAATGTGGAAAAGTTGCTAAATACTTTGTGCCTCTGTTTTCCATGTTTAACAAAATGAGGTTAAAACATCCACTTCTATTTTCCTAGAAGTATGGGAAGGATGAAATTAATTTCGATGAAAAGACCGTTCAGTTTCTCAGAACACAGGTGATCATTCATCACGTTCATCATTGTGAATCTATAGAACTTACTGTATTTCTTCAGCTGGTTGGCCAGGGAGTAGGCAGTAGCTTGAGTTATAAGGAATTTCTCTTTGAGGTCTCGGAACTGCTGATTGCTCTCTGCCAGCTGCGAGCGCAATTCCTGGTTGATTTCTAGGATGTTCATCTCTGCCCTCTCGCTGGACAAAGGGTCGGCAGATACCACCATGCTGACGTTTGTGGCAGAAGAGGTAGAGCCAGGGACTGGGGAGAAGAAACCCAGACACATGATGGGTCAAAAACTAGTGAAATCAATTAGGTTTAATCAGGACTGAGAGATGACAATTACTGGAATTGTTAACTTACGGTTGAGAAAAAGTTGATGAACACGACACAACACTTTAGAGTCCTTAACCGCAAAAACAGGGACCGGGATGCCTGAGCTCAGAGCTGAAGGCACTGCCTGTAGCTCCGACTCTGACAAGAGTGAGGGAGGTAGCAGCCAGCGTACCAGGTAACGGTCTGCAGTTGCAATAACAGAATTAGAAGGTGGGGGTGTCATGGAATCTTAGAAACCCTGCATTCCAATTGCCCAGGCTGTGCTGAAACACTAGGCCCCCTGGTCTCACCTGAGGGTCACTGATGGGGACCATTTCTTCAGCAGTCACTCTCAGTATTTGTGCACCCTTGTGACAATGCTACAGGCCCACCTCTTTCTCAATACATATAAGCATATTCCTCATTGTTCATCTCTTGTGTGTATAAAATCATCAAGGTAGGGATAGTTTTCCAGAAGGTTATATTTTCTTAGTGGTAGTCATCAAGTCACCTCACCTTCTTTTTAAGGTAAAATGATCTTAATGCTTTTCCACAAGTGAAAGATAGCAAACTTTTAGTCTGCTATGATATCCCTCTGGGTCTTCTGCAGTTTTTTCTGTATCGACTGAAAATGAAGGAATAATTCACTTTTAAAAAAGATTTTCTACCCTGTCTCAGTATTCTTGCTGCATCCCATTGTTATGTTGATTTCTTTTCTCTTACTGGGGCAGCATCTTGGCTTTTCATTACACTTAAGACCAGTTTCACATCCCTACGTCCAAAGCTCTTCCTCTATGTGTGGGTCGGTTTGCTTTTTTAATGTCACTGAACACTCGTTTCATACTTGTCACTTACGAATATCATTCTCGTCCCAAAATAGCTCTTTTCAAGGTATCAAGTGATCAAAATCATTTGTATATATCCCCTGAAAACATGTGTGACCATCTATCTTGGGAAGTCTTGTAAACCTGATGGTATTTTGTTGTTTTTAGTTTTCCCATATATTGAAAAGAACAGGGCATTGAACGCTTCTCAGGGAATATTGTTGGAGATATATATATATATATATATATATATATATATATATATATATATTTGCTCTAACACTGTTGATGTGTGGTTGCATTCCACTAACCGAACCTGGCAAGATCAAGCTCATGGTCACGGGTGGTTGGTGATCCTCAGTGTTCCTGTGCAGTAGAAGGTGAGTTTGAGATGAGAGGGATGAGTAGGGGAGTGTGCTCCCCCAAACCGCCTCCTCACTTTCTCAGCTTCCATCTTCAACTAGGTCTTGTGAGGCTAGGACTTGGGAGATTGTCCTGTAGCCCAGGTCTCCTAAGTGTGGCTGCTGGACTTGCCTGAGTTGAGGGTGTGATGAGTGTGACCACGGGCTACGCAGCATTCATGTGGAAGTGAAGGAGGAGGACTGGATCAATCCCAGTGGAAAGCGCACCTCTCAGCAGCCCGCACCATCCTCCACCTACACTGTGTAGTGACAGTGCTTTGAGATGTAGCAAAGGCTATAAATTTATCTGTTCTCTGGTGTCTCAAAGACCTGACATTCTGTGTCAGAATGAAAATCTGTCTAGTTTCTTCACTTTAAAAATGATAAAACTGCAGGTTCACAAAGTTACTGGTTTACTTGAGGTCACACAGGGATGCATTTTGAGCACTGCCAATAAAAGGAATCACAATAATTATTCAGTAATTATTTATAGAATCCATGTAATTCAATAAATAAAAATAATTATTTATTGACCAATTCATACTAGGCATTTTGTTCAAAACTGTACACATACTTGGATATCATATTTTCATCATAATCCTTAAGGCAATGTTATTATCCATAAGAAACAGGTAAGAAACCTGAAGAAGAGGGATAGCAAATCATGTATTTGGCTATATTTCTATTTTTTGGTTTCTGTGATGCTGGAAGAATGACCAGAATGAGTCATGGGAATAGCATTCATTCCTGTGTCATTTTCCAGGACAGAGGTGTGCCCTCCTTCAGCATTGGGACCGAAATTCAGAAGTGTCTGCAACCTTGCTTTAACAGTGTGGGAAATAACCTCTATTACCTGGAATTTCACTGGAACTTTGGAATATACAAGAGAAATATGAGACTTGGGTCTTCCCCTGGCTGTATTTAATTCACTATTCTATTGAGTACCAATGATTCTCATTAAGACTTTTGCCTTTTTATAACTTTTCTTTCTGACACAGAATGTCAGGTCTCTGAGACACCAGAGAATAGATAAATTTACAGCCTTTGCTACATCTCAAAGCACTGTCATTACACAGTGTAGGTGGAGGATGGTGTGGGCTGCTGAGAGGCATGCTTTCCGCTGGGATTGATCCAGTCCTCTTCCTTCACTTCCACATGAATGCTGGGTAGTCCATGGTCACACTCATCACACCCTGAACTCAGATACAACATATATTTTATGTATAGACACAATATGTATTTTATGGAGAAGATTTTACTCTTAGCTCTATTTAAAATGAATAATCTAAGCACTGGTTTAGGTTTTATGCCCTGGACTTGATATTTTTTCTGATTTCTGTTTTGAGATTAAATTCTCATGTAGATAGAAAAATGCTTATTACTTATAAGAGCAAATTAGTTATTGATTTGAGTTTCTGAAGTCGAAGCACAAACTTTTGTTTTTAATCTTTGTCTGACCCCATCAGTGCCACTCATTGTCTCTCAGAATGACCTGGCCGTGATCCTGCACTTACCCTCGTCCTGCTGAACCATTTCCACGCACTGTCCAATTCCATCAGTGATCTGGGCTCTTCCCAAAGCTCCTTGAAATGGGTCCAGGTCTCAGGATGTCAGACACCTTCCAGACACAAAAGTAACCCATACTGTAGAGAGCGCAGCTGGGTTCCCACCTCCCTGAAGTTGGCAGGGATGTCCTAGGGCAGGAAGGAAGGCTTTCCCTTTTTAGCGGGTCTTTTCTTCATGTCTCAGTGCCTCTGATCTAGTGAACACAATTGTCCTGAGCGGGAAAGAACTTGCTAAATTTCTGGTTTCTTGTTAGGTTGCTAGAATAGATTTGTAAGAGTTCCTTGTTTACCCATGTCTGCTGAAGTTTGAATTCTTAGCCGTATGATTTCTTTTCTTGTAAATTGAGCAGCTTGGAGAAAACTGGCCCTGTTGCTATGCAAAAAGATGTAAACTTAATTTCTACTCAAAGCAAGTTTGAATTTGAAACTAGGGCTTCCACTGTTTCAATGTTGGACTGTCACTACCTCAGGCATGTGTCCCAAAGTGCTCCTGTCTCTGCTGTACTCAGGATAAAGTTAAGATGGAGCCCAGCAAGCCAGGTTTCCTTCACTTCTAGGTTCCCTCAACAGTTTTCTCCACTTTAGAGAATGCATTGAATATATTCTTGTTCTGCTTCTGTGTTTGGGCTTTGGAATGATGTGATGCAGCTCAATGGTTCCTACCCCCAAGTTGATCAGAGTAAGAAACATCTGGAAGGTCAGTGCAAATACAAGATCATTGTCCTCCTTGCAGGGATTCTGATTCAGTGCGCTCAGTTGGGGCCTGGAATGTGTTTGTTAACGACTTAGATGTGCAGTCAGACTGGGGACCCTCTGATACCACGGACCTTACAGTTTATGGGATGATTCTGTTTTGCTGATGACAAAACCAAGGCACAGAGAGTCTGTAACTTGCCCAAGTTCCCTTTGCTGTTAGTACTGGAGCCAGATCTCAGAAAGAGTCCCCTCCCCCAATCCCCTTTCCACATTTTCCAATTCAGTTGTGTGGTTCTTTCCAAGTAGGTGTTTCTCTCCCCTGTACCTCATTTCTGCAAAACAAACAAACAAACACACATTAAAAAACAAAACAAACAAACAAACAAAAAACCTTCTTGAATTCAATTTGTTTCATTTAATACATTTCCTCACAACATGCAGTCAGCATTATGTTCTGGCCACTTACTATGAGTGTGAGATGCTTTTTTTTTTTTTTTTTTTTGAGACAGGTTCTCGTTCTGTCATCTAGGCTGGAGTGCTCACTGCATACCCAAATCCTGGGCACAAGTGATCCTCCTGCCTCAGCTTTCCAAGTAGTTCGAACTCTAGGCACACATCACCATTTCTGGCTTTTTTTTTTTTTTTAATTTTTTGTAGAGACAAGGTCTTGCTGTGTTGCTCAGGCTGGTCTTAAACTTCTTTCACTCAAGAACTTTTTATTGAAAAGTCTTTCATTTCCCCAATGAGAGGCACTGGCGTGTTTGTTTTTAAAAACTTTAAATAACTGTATATATGTGAGCATAATGTTTGAGTCTGTATTCTTTTTATCTTGATATACTTCTATATACTTACACTAGTACTATAGTTTTTAAATTATTGTAGCTCTAAATGAGTTTTGAAATCCAGCAGAATAACTCCTACAACTTACTGCTTCTTCAAGACCAACTTGCCTGTTCTAGCTTTTTTGATTTTCAAATACATTTTGAAATTAGCTTTTACATTTCTCTAAAAATTCCTACTGGAAACATTAGTCAGAATTATGTTGATGTAATATCTTAACAAAATTGAATCTTCCAATCCATGAATGTAATATATATTTCTCTATTTAGTCTTCTTTAATTTCTCTCACCAATAGCTTTCAGGGGCTTTGTACCTGCTTCATTATATGTATTCTTAAATATGTAATGATTTTGGATATTAATCTCTATTATGTTTTATTGAATTTCATTTTCTAGCAGCTAATTGCTAGTATGGAGAAATTAAGATGATTAAATAAACTTTATAAAGGTATTTATTAAGTACAATAGACTGCACCACTTTAAACTATGTAATCCAATGCATGTTCACAAATGTATACACTAATGGAACTACTGCCATAATCAAGATATAGGAATTTCCATAAGCCCAAAATTTCTTGTAACCCTTTGCAGTTAATCAGTATTTCAACCCTCAGGTTCAAGGAGCCACTGTCACTTTCTGGCAGTGCCTTTTTCACCATTTTCTATAAATGAAATTATACCTGTGTTCTTTTGCATCTGCCTTCTTTCATGCATCATATTAATTTGAAAATCCATCCATGTGAGCATTTTCGTCAACAGTTAATGCCTTGTAATTGCTGAGTAGTATTCCTTTGTGTGGCTACACCATGTTTGTTTATACATTCACTTGTTATTGGACATTTGTGTCATTCTAGGTTTGGGCTATAATGCATAAAGTATCATGAGCATCCACATACAGATCATTGTGTGGACATAGAGTGTAAATTCCTAGGAGTGCAAGGACTGTCCATTTGATCTGTACATGTTTAGTCTTATAAGAAACTGTTAGCCAGATTTTCAAAGGAGTTGTACCATTTTTCATTTCCACAAGTATAGGACTTCCAAGTACTTTATATCCTCACCAACATGTGGTATTTTCAGTCTTTTTAATTTTAGCCATTCTCATGGACATGTAATGGTATCTCAGCATTGTATTGATTGATCTCCCTGATGACTAAAGAGTTGAGCATCATTTCATTTGCAAATTGACCCTTCATATATCTTCTTTTCTGAAGTATCTATTCAAGTCTTTTGAGAAATTGTTTCATTGTGCTGTTTATCTTATCAGACTGCATTATATATATACCATTAAAAAATCTTTTGTTGGAGATAAATATAATTTCTCCTATATTGTGGCTTCTTTTTATGTTCTCTTAATGTTCCCTGTTTTGGAGATAAAGATAGAAATCATCAAACAGGTGATTATGTATATATACATATAACTATATTCACGTCTAAGAATAATTTATTAGACATATATGTAAGGGTCTATTTCTGAGTTCTCTTTTCTCTTCCATTGATATATGTTCTATTTTTTTCAACAATACACATGGTCTTGATTTCCATAGCTGTATAGTAAATCTGGAAATAGGTAGTGAATTCATTCACCATTGTTCTTTTATAATATTGCTCTCTTATTATTCTTGATCACTGACATTTTCATATAAATCAGCTTGTAAATGTCTACCAAATTGCCTGTTGGAATTTTTTGTTAGAATTGCATTGCATCTGGAGATCAATTTGGGAAGAACTGACTTTTTAACTATAACAGCTCTTCTGATCCGTGACAAGGTTTATCTCCCCACCAATTTAGTTTGTTTATATATATATCTAATTTCTCAAAGCAATGTTTTGTAGTTTTCAGTGTACTGGCCTTACATAAATTTTCTTGAATTTATTTCTAAGCACATCACGTATTTAGATGTTACTTTAAATGAAATTGTATTTTTATTTTATTTTCCAAACACTCATTGCTAATATACAGAAATACAACAGACTATTTATATTGAACTTATATTCTGCAACATTGCCAAACTCGCTTAATAGTTTTGGTATATTTTTGTAGATTTCTGGAATTGTTTACATACATAATCATGATCCGTGAATAAAGACAGCTTCAATTCTAGACAGCTTCAATTCTTTCTTTTCAATCTTTTCAATGTTTCTGTTTATTTATGTTCTTACTTTATTGCATCGGATAACATCTCTAGTTTAATGCTGGATTGAAAGAGTAACAGCAGATATTCTACCTTTTTCGCTATTTAATAGAAAGCATTCAATCTTATTAATGTTACCTGTGGGTTTTTCAAATCTGCCCTTGCAGGGTTGGAAGTGTTGCCTTCTGTTCTTACCAAGTTGAGAGTTTGTTTTTGTTAATGATGAAAAAAGTTTTCAATTTGCCAAACGCTTTTTCTGTGTATGTCAGGGTAATCATATGCTTTTTCTCTTTTGTCCTGATAATATACAGAATTTTATCAGTTTTTTAAAATATAAAAAGATGTATTAAATCAAGCTATGGCAGTTTTAAAATAATGTTTTAAACTTTTAGCAATTATATTGATATATAACTTACATGCAAAAAACTGCACATAATTAAAGTGTATAATTTAAAAAGTTTGAGCATAGTACACATCTGCAATCAGGATTAGTAAATACAGGCCGGGCATGGTGGCTCATGCCTGTAATCCCAGCACTTTGGGAGGCCAAGGCAGGTGGATTGCTTGAGCTCAGAGTTCAAGACCAGCCTGGGAAACGTAGTGAAACCCTGTGTCTAAAAAATATACAAAAATTAGCCAGGCGTGGCGGCATGTGCTTGTAGTCCCAGCTACTTGGGAGGCTGAGTTGGGAGGATGGCTTGAGCCCAGGAGACAGAGGTTGCAGTGAGCCAAGAGTGTGCCACTGCACTCCAGTCTGGGTGATAGAACCAGACCCTGTGTCAAAAAACAAACAAACAAAAAAGATAGTGGATATATCTACCACTTCCAAAGTGTCCTTGTTTACGTAGTAATTCCTCCCTCACCTTTCTCCCCACACCTCAGACAACCACTGGTTGGCTTTCTGTCATAATAGATTAATTTAAATTTTCTCAAGTTTTCTATAAATAGAATTATATACTATGTACATTATTTTGGTTTCATTTTTTAATTCAGAATAATTATTTTGAGATGTAGCTTTGTTGTCATGTGTATTAATAGATCACTCTGCTATATTGCTAATATTCCATGTGATGGTTATATCACAGTTTATTTTATTTATTCACCTGTTCATAGATTTGGATGGCTCTGGTTTTAAAACTAAAGCTTTTATCAACGAATTTGTATGGACATATCCTTTCCTTTCATTTGAGTGAAATAGCAGTATCATATGATACGTACAGGTTTACTATTTTAAGAAGCTGCCAAACTGTTTTATAACATGCTTGTAAAATTTCACATTCCCATCAACAGTGTATGAGTGTTTTTGTTTCCATATATCTTTGCCAATATGTGGAACGGTGATTCTTTTAACTTCAGTCATTTTACTTGGTATACAGTGGTTTAAATTTGCATTTTCCTAGTGACTAATGATATTGAATATCTTGTCATATTGTTATGTGCCTTCCATATATCTTCCTTGTGGAATATCTCTACAAATCTTTTATTCATTTGAAAATTTGATTGCCTGTTTATTAATAAATTTTGAGAGTTCCCTTAGTGTTGCAGACAGAGGTCCTCTATCGGATACATAATTTCCAAATATTTTCTACCTAAGTGTGGCTTGTCTTTTCATTCTCTTACCAATGTCTTTGAAGAGCAATTTTTTAAAAGTATTATTGAAGCGTAATTTATTGTTTTGTTCTTTTACCAGTTCTTAGGGGAAATGCTTCCAGCTTTTGCCCATTCCGTATGATGTTGGCTGTGGGTTTGTCATAGATAGCACTTATTATTTTGAGGTATGTTCCTTTGGTGTCTAGTTTGTTGGGAGTTTTAACATGAAGGGATGTTGAATTTTATCAAAAGCCTTTTCTGCATCTATTGAGATAATCATGTTGTTTTCAGTTTTAGTTCAATTTACGTGATGAATCACATAACATATGTTGAACCAACCTTGCATCCCAGGAATGAAGCCTACTTCTTCATGGTGCATTGGCTTTTGGTGTGCTGCTGGGTTGGATTTGCTAGTATTTTGTTGAGGAGTTTTGTGTCTCTATGTTCATCAGGCATATTGGCTTGAAGTTTTTTTTTAATGTTGTGTGTCTCTGCCAGGTTTTGGTATCAGAATGAGGCTGGCCTCCTGATAGGAGTTAGGGTAGAGTCCTTCCTCCTCAGTTGTTTGGAATAATTTCAGTAGAATTGTTACCAGCTCTTTATTATATAAGAATTCAGCAATGAATCCACCTGTTCTGGGCCTTTTTCTGGTTGGTTGGTTTTTTATTACCAATTCAATTTAGAACTCCTTATGGTCTGTTCCAGGATTTCAGCTTTTTTCTGGTTCAATCTTGGGAGAATGTACGTTTCCAGGAATTCACCCATTTCTTCCAGTTTTTTTTTTTTTCTGGATTTGTTGAGCTGTTGTATGCATTTTCACATCTCAATTTTATTCAGTTCAGCTCTGATTTTGGTTTTCTTTTCTTCTGCTAGCTTTGGGGTTGGTTTGCTCTTCTTTTTCTAGTTCCCCTTGGTCTAATGTTAGGTTGTTAATTTTTTTCTTTTTTTATTTCAGCACAGAGTTGTTGATTCATAGATTGTTCATTTGAGCTCTTTCTAACTTCTACAAGAATGCCCACTCTTACCATTCCTATGCAACATGGTACTGGAAGTCCTAGCCAGAGCAATCAGGCAAATGAAAGAAATAAAAGGCATTGAAATACAAACAGAGGAAGTCAAACTATGTCTCTTTGCTGATGATTTAATTCTATATCTAGAACACTCCATTTTTTTTGCCCAAGACTATCCTTTCTTCATTGTGTGTTATTGGGAGCATGGTCAAATGTAGCTGACTGAATGTCTTTCCCCAAAGGCTAGAACTGCTAAGCAACTTCAGTAAAGTTTCAGGATATAAAATCAATGTACAAAAGTAGTAGCATTTGTATACATCAGTAACATCCAAGCTGAGAGCCAAATCAGGGATGCAACCCCATTCACAATAGCCACAAAGAGAATAAAATGCCTAGGAATACAGCTAACCAGGGAAGTGAAAGATCTCTACAACAAGGATTCCAAAACACTGTGGAAGGAAATCAGAGACAAGACAAACATATAGAAAAACATACCATGCTCCTAGGCGAATTAATGCAGAAACAGAAAACCAAATACTGCACATTCTTACATGTAAGTAAAAACACCATTTGTGATGGACATTTAAGTTGTTTCCATATCTTGGCTATTGTAAGTAATGCTGCAATGGACATGAGAGTGCAGGTATCTCTAGTAGGTGCTGATCTCATTTCTTTTGGATATATACTCAGAAGAGGGATTGCTGGGTCATATTTTTAACTTTTTGAGAAAACTCCATGCTCTTCTCCATAAGGAATGTACCAGTTTACATTTCCACCAGTGTACAAGTGTTTCCTTTTCTACACACCCTTGCCAACACTTCTCTTTGTCTTTTATACAATTGCCAACCTAACAAGTGTGAGGTGATATCTCACTGTGATTTTGACTGGCATTTCCCTGATGATTAGTGATATTGAGCAACTTTTCATATATGTGCTGGCCATCTGTTTGCTCTCTTTGGAGAAATATCTATTCAGGTCCTTTGTCTATTTTTTATTTATTTGGTGATTGAGTTCTATGAGTTCCTTATATTTTGGATAGAAACTCCTTAACAGATATATGGCTTGCAAATATTTTCTCCAAATCCATAGGCTGCCTTTTCATGTTGTTGATTGTTGCCTTTGCTGTGCAGAAGCTATTTGGTTTGATGTGGTCCTTTTTTTTTTTTTTTTTTTGGCGGAGTTTTGCTCTTGTTGCCCAGGCTGGAGTGCAGTGGTGCAATCTTGGCTCACTGCTACCTCCACTTTCCGGGTTCAAGCGATTCTCCTGCTTCAGCCTCCCGAATAGCTAGGATTACAGGCTCCCACCACCATGCCTGGCTAATTTTTTTGTATTTTCAGTAGAGATGGGCCTTCGTCATATTGGCCAGGCTGGTCTCATCCTCCTGACCTCAGGTGATCCACCCGCCTCGGCCTTCCAAAGTGCTGGGATTACAGGTGTGAGCCACCATGCCCAGCTGGTCCCATTTGTTTGTTATTGCTTTTGGTGTCCTATCCCCCTGCACCCCCAACCCCCACCCCACAAAAGTCATTGCCAAGACCAATGTCAAGGAGCCTTTCCCCTTTGTTTTCTTCTTGGAGTTTTATGATTTTGTCTTACACATAAGTATTTAATCCATTTTGAGTTGATTTTTGTGTATTTTGTATATGAGTCCAATTTCATTCTTTTGCATGTGGATATCCAGTTTTCCCAACACCATTTATTGAAGAGACTATCCTTTCCTCATTGTATGTTATTGGGGGCATGGTCAAAAAGTAGTTGACTGTATGTACTTGGGTTTATTTCTGGGCTATCTATTCTGTTCCTGGTCTATGTGTCTATTTTAATGCCAGTCCCATACAGTTTTGATTACTATAACTTTGTAATATAATTTGAAACTAGCTAGTATGATCCCTTCAACTCTGCTTTTCTTCCTCAGGACTGCTGTGTCTATTCTGGTTTTTTGGCAGATCCATACAAATTTGGAGTTTTTTTTCTATTTCTGTGAAAAATGCTATTGGAATTTTGATAGGGACTGCCTTGAATTTGTAGATCACTTTAGGGCAGTATGAACATTTTAACAATATTTATTCTTCCATACCATAAACATGGGATTCCTTTCCATTTATTTGTACCTTCAATTTCTTTTAACAACATTTTATAATTTTCAGTGTATAGATCTTTGCCTCCTTGGTTAAACTTATTGCTGATTTTATTCTTTTTAATATTA
Source organism: Homo sapiens (assembly GCF_000001405.40). NCBI lineage: Eukaryota > Metazoa > Chordata > Mammalia > Primates > Hominidae > Homo > Homo sapiens. The sequence goes on along the minus strand of NW_017852928.1, from coordinate 451,059 downwards.
TCATAAATAGGATTTAAAATTTTTTATTGAATAGGTCATTATTGGTGTACAGAAATGCAACTGATTTTTATTAGTTGATTTTATATCCTACAACTTTACTGAATTCATTTATTAGTTCTAACAGGGTTTTCTTGCAGAGTCTTTAGAGGTTTCTACATATAGGATCATATTATCTGCAAACAGTGATAATTTCATTTCTTCCTTTCCAATTTGAATCTTTTAATTTCTTTTTCTTTCCTGGTTGCTTTTGCTAGTACTTCCAGTACCATGTTGAATGGAAGTGGTGAGAGTGGGAATCCTTGACTTGGACTGGATCTTACAGGAAAAGCTTTCAGTTTTTCTTGATTGAGTATCATGTTAACTGTGGGCTTCTCATAAGTGGCCTTTATGATGTTGAAGAAATTTTCATCTATGCCTTATTTGTTGAGAGTTTTTCTCATGAAAGGATGTTGAGGTTTGTCATCTGCTTTCTCTGGAGCTACTGAGGTGATCATGTGGTTTTCATCTTTCATTCTGTATCACATTGATTTGCATATACTACACCAAACTTACAGCCCAGGGATAAGCTCCACTTGGTTAAGACATATATCCTTTTTGATGTGTTGTTGAATTTGGGTTGGTAGTATTTTACTGAGGAATTTTGCATCTATGTTCATCAGAGATATTAGCCTGTAGTTTTATTTTCTTCTGGTGTCTTTGGCAGAGTAATGCTGGCCTCATAAAATGATTTTGGAAGTATTCTCTCTACTTCTATCTTTGAGAAGAGCTTAAGAAGAAATGCATTAATTCTTTTTTTAATTTTTAGTAGAGTTCAACTGTGAAGCCATTTGGTCCTGAGTCCTGGTCCTGGCTTTTGTTTTTTTTGGGAGGTTTATAGTTACTGCTTCAATCTTTTTATTTGTTATTGGTCTGTTCAGGCTTTCTATTATTTTTTGATTGAATCTGGGTAGGTTGTATGTGTCTAGGAATTTATCTATTTTCTCTAGGTTATCCAATTTGTTGCTATATAGTTGCTCATAATAGTTCCTTATGATACTTTTTATTTCTGACACATCTGCTGAAATACCTCCACTTCATTTCTGATGCTATTTATTTGACTCTTCTCTTTTTTTCTTAGTCTAGTTAAAAGTTTGTCAATTTTGTTTATTTTTTCAAAAAATTAACTCAGTTTTGTCAATTTTTCTAGTTTTTCTATTCTTTGGTTGAGTTGCTCCTGCTTTGATTTTTATTATTTCCTTCCTTTTGATAACTTTATTTCATTCTTTTCCTAGTTATTTGAGGTATAATGTTAGGTTACTTATTAGAGACCTTTTTTCTTAATGTGGGTCTCTTCCTTCCTTCCTTCCTTTTTCTCTTTCTTTCTTTCTTTTTTCTCCCTTTCTCTTTCTCTCCCTCCCCTCCCCTCCCCTCCCCTGCCCTCCCTCTCCTCCCCTCCCCTCCCTCCCTCTCTCCCTCCCTCCCTCCCTCCCTTCCTTCCTTCCTTCCTTTCCTTCCTTCCCAGGGTCTCACTCCATTGCACAGGCTGGAGTGCAGTGGCACAATCTTGGCTCACTGCAACTTCTACCTCCTTGGTTCAAGCAATTCTCCTGCCTCAGCCTCCCTGAGTAGCTGGGATTACACGTGCGTGCCACCATGCTGGGCTAATTTTTGTACATTTTGGTAGAGATGGGGTTTCACCATGTTGGTGAGGGTGGTCTTGAACTCCTGACCTCAAGTGATGTGCCTACCTTGGCCTCCCAAAGTGCTGGGATTACATGCATGAGCCACTGTGCCCAGCCAATATAGGCATTTATCATTACAAACTTGCCTCTTAGAGCTGCTTTTGCTGTTTCCGGAGGTTCCATTATGTTTGTTTTCATTCTTGTTTGTCTCAAGATATTTTAAATTTCCCTTTTGATTTGTTCTTTGACCCATCAGCTGTTCAAAAGCATGTTATTTAATTTCCATGTATATGTGAAATTTTCCAGTTTTCCTTCTGTAGATTTTTAGTTTCTTACTATTGTGCTCAGAAAAAATACTTGATGTGATTTCAATCATCATAAATGTGTTCATGATCTACTTTTCATTCATATTTTAATTGATGTATAGTAGTTGTACATCTTTTGGGGGTATGTGTGATAATTTGATAAATGTGTATAATGTGTAATGACCAAATCAGGGTAATTAGGATATCTATCACCTCAAACTTTTATCTTTTCTTTGTGTTACACACACTCCAATTATTATAGCTATTTTTAAAAATATACAACAAATTATTGTTAACAGTAGTCTCCCTGCTACCCTATTGAATACTAGAACTTACTCCTTCAACCTAACTGTATTTTTGTACCCATTAACCAACTTCTACCCTCTCCCCACTCTCATTCCCAGCCTCTGGTACACACTAATTTTTATATATGGAGTGACACACGAATCTGATTTTTTACTTATTTTTATACACATATAGATGTCATACCCATTTGTTAAAAGAAAATCCTCTACCATTTGTTGAAAGTATATACATTTTTAAATATTTTTCTTTTTCATGTTTGTCAAATATCTTTTTATCCATATATGCATTGGTTTATTTTTGGACTGTGTATTTTGTTCCTATTTTATCAATCTTTTTTTCTTTTCTTTTCTTTTTTTTTTTTTTTTTTTTGAGACAGAGCCTCATTCTGTCACTCAGGCTGGAGTGAAGTGGTGTGATCACTTCCTGGGTTCAAGTGATTCTTGTGCCTCAGCCTCCCAAGTAGTTGGAATTACAGGAGTGCATCACCATGCCTGGCTAAGTTTTTGTGCTTTTAGTAGAGACGAGGTTTCACCATGTTGCCCAGGCTGGTCTCGAACTCCTGAGTTCAGGCAATCCACCCACCTCGGCCTCCCAAAGTGCTAGGATTACAGGTGTGAGATCATATCCCAACACCATTCTGTTTTGATTACTATAACTTTATAATAGTTCTTTAAATCAGGTAGAGCTAGTCCTCCAAGTTTGTTCTTCATTTTAGTAGCATTTTGATTATGCTAGTTCATATTAATTTTGGAATCAGCTGATCACTTTCTACCAAAGATGCTCGCTGAGATTTTGAGTGGAATTGCATTGAATTTATAGATCAGATTGGGGAAAAGTAACACCTCAACAATATTAAGTCTCTTGACCCATGAACAAAGAATTTCTCTCTAGTTTTTAGGTATTCATTATGTTCTCTGTGAAACATTTTATAATTTGCAGTCAGATTTATCCCTATGCATTTTATACATTTGACACTATTGTAAGTGGTATTGCTTTTTACATTTCAATTGTGCATTGGAATTACATAAAATAGAATTGATTTTTGTATATTGACGTTGTATCCTGCTAGAAACAAATGCTTTTCAGACTGAAGTTACATTTGGCAGTGACAATATCTTTCGGGGGGGGGTCCTGCGTATTTACCAGGTGAAAAGAATCTTTTTCATTTTACTTGGAGCTTTATCATCAGCCCAAGGAAGAGGAACGTCCCAACCTATATTCAGTTTTCAGGCTGGGCAGAGTGTGTACCTTGTGGACCAATGCATGTGAAATGTTCTGTATGTTCATCAATAGGTTTTCCTTAAGAGTGCTCATGCAGTTGATGAGGCTTCCCATGTGCGTGTCTGTTTATCTGCAATGTTATCCCTTATTTTAAAATTTAGTATTCAATAATGTATCCCAGCATTATGTAGTATCAGAGACTTTGGGATGGTCTTCAATGATATATCTATCAAGTTATCATGAGTTTGTACCTGATCCTGACTAGTCTTATTTCTGATGTGATCTATTATAAAATGAGACCAAAAGCTTTAAAATAACTAATAATGTTGGGCTGAGGGGATTTCTTTGTGGGATACTCAGCCTTAGGAGACAGTAGATCCTATTACACATCTGAAGTAGGAGTCCACTCACTTCAGTATGTGAGCATCAGGACCCTGATTCTGCAGTAGTATCTGCAGTCCCTTGCACTATCAGCTTCATTCCCTCAAGGGAGAATGAATGGCCTTCAGTTTGTTATGTCACAATTGACACGTGTAGCACATTTGAGTATCTCTTTAGTTATTGACCTAGGTTTACATCCAATCATGTTAAGCTTGCTCACCTGGGTGATTCACAAGGTCACATTCCCAGTGGGTCAGTTGACTGTCACAAAAAAACAAAAGCATTCATTTGTCATTATGTAAAACATGGCTCACAAACAGCTTTAAAGGTGGTTTCTCAAATGTTTATCTATAAAGTCTAGTTACTCAAATGAATTTATCTTCTACTCCAGTTTTTTATTTCTCCATGTTCTGCCTCTACGACAGAACCCAAGGGCCAGTATAAACATAGATTTAATTCTGCTGATTTATAACCAATCAACAGTTTCATTATTACATATGATTCTGTACACTGGGTTGTCAGCCTTCTTCTTTCTTTTACCTGTTCCTATTGGATGTTAAGATGATATGGGCTGAAGGTGATGGCTCAAGCTTGTGATTCCAGCATTTTGGGAGGCTGAGGCAGGAGGATCACTGGAGTCTGGGAGTTTGAGATGAGCCTGGACAACACAGTGAGACCTCATCTTCTTTTTTAAAAAAGATGATGTAATGTTATTTGCCACTTTTATTAACATCCCTGGACTACAGTTCTACCATTTCTTTTTTTTGAAAGCATCTCTTATTATCATAAGATGTACTTAAATCTTCATATTTGTGAGCATCATTAATATTATTAATAGATAAAATCTACAATGGTCAATTCTTTGGTTAGGTCAGAGACTAAAATCTGAAAATTAGAAATTCACTATTTCTTTCAGGCGTGTGTGTGCTGTTGTGCTAATCCCTCACCTCTCTCAGAAAAGTCATTGTAGGCCCAAGCCAATAAGTAAACAGTCTGTGAAAGAATGAATGCAAATCCTAGAATAAGTATGTAGTGCCCACTGAGTGGAGGAAAATTTTGCAAAAGTTGTTTTTCTACAGTTGTGCAACTTTCCTCTGAGCCAGCTCATCTGCTGCTTCAAAGGCCCCAAATAATTTTTTTCATCATCTTATGGCCATTGTCATAAACTCCATTCTGCCCCTGCCTATGTCACCTACCATGCAATCTGTTTCACTGCATGGCCTTAGAGGCAGAGACATTTTTCCAGCTTTAAGTGCATTAAGGTTCTCCTGTTTCTGCAAGACAATGGAAGTTAGTGGTTCTCTCTGTTTTTTGGTATTTAAGTCCATCATCAGGGTCAGTTGGGAAATATGTTTTCTCCAGAAGCTGTTAGGTGCTGTTCAGTGCAATAATTTTTCAGTTCTTACACTATAATTGATCCCATCTATGCATTATAGTTCCTAAAATCACTTTCTGAGAAGGCCCTTGATTACTTTTTTAAAATAGCCCAGCCAGCAGCATTATTATATCTTTCCTAGTTCTTAGAAGGAACATCCTCATGCTCCTTCTGGTGATGTTCCTACTAACAACATGTAATCTGTGAAATGGAACAGAGGGAGGAGACCCATGCCAAGATTCTGTGACACTCAGCTCTGACAGTTGGCAGGCAGACACTCTCTGCAGAAGATTCTCCTGAGGCTGTTTGACCAGAATCCTTGGGAGGTTGAAAGCCCAGTCTTGACAGAACCACCATTCACAAGGCCAGGTGTGTGGCTCACGCTGTAATCCCAGCACTGTGGGAGGCCAAGGAGGGAAGAATGCCTGAGCCCAGGAGTTAAGACCAGCCTGGGGAACGTGGCAAGACATCATCTCGAAAAAAAAGAAAATAGAAAAAGAAAAAAACCCCACCATTTATTATCATCTCCCATTTTATCAGAATAAGCCTGTGGGTGTTGGCTGTCAATTTTCTCACTTACAGGCAACCCAAGCTGACCTGGGCACAGAAATCTTAAGCTCTTTTCAGGAAAGAATGCTCTACTCATCCTCTGTATCACTAGTTACGCAGTGTAACCAGCACAGAGCTTTACTCACAAGGGCTCAGGAAATGCATTTGCTGAGCTCAACAAATTGACAATCCAACTTATTTTGATAAGCAGAGATTTTGTAGTTTAGAGAACTGAATAGGGTAAGCAGAGGAACAAAACAGAATGTTATTTTATTTTGTGTCTAAGAGTACAAAAATCATAATCACCAACCTCTTGGGAATCCCAAGGCAGAATTTTAGTCCCAGACCCCCCAACATCCTCACTACATACATGGAAGTTGCTTTACTCCTTTCTACCTTAGTTATTTGACCTATAATTAGAGGATAAAATACAACATTCTAAAATCCTGGTAATATGGCCGATATATAATTTTATTTTTGATGTGGGTGAGAGTCTTGAAGTCTGGAAAGCATTTAACTTATTAAAAGACAGATCATCACTGATCATTATGGCAAGGACAAATTTAGAAGACTTATTAAACTTACCTCGGCGGGGAGGGGCCAAGACTGCCGACTAGAAGCAGCTCTGGTCTGCAGCTGCCAGCGAGAGGAACGAGGAATGTGGGTGATTTCTGCATTTCCAACTGAGATACCCAGTTCATCTCACTGGGACTGACTAGATGGTCGGCATGACCCACAGAGAGCGAGAAGAAGCAGGGTATTGCTTCACCCAGGAACTGCACAGGGCAGGGGGACCTCCCTCCCCAGCCAAGGGAAGTGGTGAGGGACAGTGCTACCCACCAAGGGTACTAAGCTTTTCCCACAGATTTTTGCAATCCACAGATCAGCAGATCCCCTCGGGAGCCTACAACCACCAGTGCCCTGGGTCTCAAATACAAAACTGGGCAGACCAATGACAGCTGCTCCCGTCGGCGGCTGTTTGGGCAGGCACTGAGCTGCAGGAATTTTTACATACTCCGGCAGCACCTGGAACTCCAGTGAGGCAGGAGAAATGTCCACTTCTGTGGAAAGGGGGCTGTAGCCAGGGAGCCAAGTGGTCTCGCTCAGAGGGTCCCACTCCCACGGAAACCCCGCAAGCTAAGAACCACTGGCTTGAAATCCCCGCTGCCGGCACAGCAGTCTGGAGTCCGCCTGGGACAACTCAGTTCCCAGGGGGAGGGGCGACCGTCATTACTGAGGCTTTAGTTGGAGGTTTTCCCCTGACAGTGCTAAGGAGACTAGGAGGTTTGGACTGGGTGGAATTCCCCACAACGCAGCAAAGTGGCTGTTGCAGATCGTGGCCAGACTGCTTCCTAGGTGGGACCCGAAGCCATCCCTCCTCACCTGGAGGGCATCCCTGCAGGAATTCCAGTAGCTACAGTCAGGGGCTTACAGACAAGAACTCTAATCTCCCTGGGACAGAGCACCTCGGGGGAGCGGCGGCCATGGTCCGAGGTTCAGCAGACTTAATCTTTCCTGCCTGCTGGCTCTGAAGAGACCAGCTGATCCCAAGGAGGGTTATTCCTCCAATACAGTGCACCAGCTCTGCTAAGGGACAGTCAGTCTGCCTCCGTAAGGAGGCCCCCCTTCCAGTCCCGTGCTTCTTGACTGGGTGAGACTTCCCATCAGGGGTCGCCAGACACCTCATGCAGGAGAGTTCCGGCTGACATCAATCAGGTTGATGCCACTGTGGGAAGAAGCTTCTGGAGGAAGGAGCAAGCAGCAATCTTTGCTGTTCTGCAAACTCCACTGGTGATACCCAGGCGAACAGGGTCTGGAGTGGACCCCCAGCAAGCCGCAGCAGACCTGCAGAAGAGAGGCCTGACTGTTAGAAGAAAAACCAACAGAAAGTAACAACAACAACAACATCAACACAAAAGACCCCACAAAAACCACATCCAAAGGTCAACAGCTTCAAAGATCACAGGTAGACAAAACCATGAAGATGAGGAAAAACCAATGCGAAAACACTGAAAATTTCAAAAGCCAGAATGCCTCTTTTGTTCCAAACGATCTCAACACTTCTCCAGTAAGGGCACAGAACAGGGCTGAAGCTGAGACTGATGAACTGACAGAAGCAGGTTTCTGAAAGTGGGTAATAATGAATTTCACTGAGCCAAAGGATTATGTTCTAACCCAACGCAAGAAGCTAAGAAGCATGATAAAAGATTACAGGAGGTATTAGCTAAAATAACCAGTTTAGAAAGGAACATAAATGACCTGATGAAGCTGAAAAACACAGCACAAGAACTTTATGATGCAAACACAAGCATCTGTAGCCAAAACAACCAAGTGGAAGAGAAGATATCAGACCTTGAAGACTATCTTGCTGAAATAAGGCAGGCAGACAAAATTAGAGAAAAAAGAACGAAAAGGAACAAACAAAACCTATGAGAACTATGGGAGTATGTAAAAAGATGGAACCTATGACTGATTGGAGTACCTGAAAGAGTTGGGGAGAATGGAACCGAGTTGGAAAACGCACTTCAGTATATCATCCAGGAGAACTTCCCCAACCTAACAAGACAAGCCAATATTCAAATCAGGGAAATCCAGAGAACCCCAGTAAGATACTCCACAAAAAGATCTACCCCAAGGCACATAATCATCAGGTTCTCCAAGGTTGAAATGAAGGAAAAAATGTTAACGGCAGCCAGAAAGAAAGGCCAGGTCACGTACAAAGGGAAGCCCATCAGACTAACAGCGGACCTCTCAGCAGAAACTCTACCAGCCAGACAAGATTGGGGTCCAATATTCAAGATTCTTAAAGAAAAGAAATGCCAACCCAGAATTTCATATCAGACCAAACAAATCTTCATAAGCAAAGGAGAAATAAAATCTTTTTCAGACAAGAAAATGCCGAGGGATTTCATCACCACCAGGCCTGCCTTGCAAGAGCTCCTGAAGGAAGTACTAAACATGGATAGCAAAATCACACACAAAAACACACTGAAGTACACAGATCAGTGACATTATGAAACAACTACATTAACAAGTCTGCAAAATTAACCAGCCAGTATCATGATGACAGGTTCAAATTCACACATAACAATATTAACCTTAAGTGTAAATGAGCTAAATGCCCCCAATTAAAAGACACAGAATGGCAAGTTGGATACAAAGACAAGACTCATCGGTATGCTGTATTCAAGAGACATATCTCATGTGCAAAGATGAACACAGACTCAAAGTTAAGGGATGGAGGAAAATTTACCAAGCAAATGGAAAGCAGAAAAAAAAAACAGGGGTTGCAATCCTAGTTTCTGACAGAAAAAACTTTAAACCAACAAAGGTCAAAAAAGACAAAGAAGGGCATTACATAATGGTAAATGGATCTATTCAACAGGAAGAGCTAACTATCCTAAATATACATGCACCCAATACAGGAGCACCCAGATTCATAAAACAAGTTCTTAAAGACCTACAAAGAGACTTAGACCCCCACACAATAATAGTGGGAAACTTTAATACCCCACTGTCAATATTACACAGATCATTGAGACAGAACATTTACAAATATATTCAAGACTTGAACTCAGCTCTAGACCAAGTGGACCTGATAGATATCTACAGAACTCTCCACCCAAAACAACAGAATATACATTTTTTTTGGTGTCACATGGCACTTAATCGAAAATTGATCACATAATTGGAAGTAAAACACTCCTCATCAAATGCAAAAAGAACTGAAATAATAACAAACAGTCTCTAAGACCACAGTGCAATCAAATTAGAACTCAAGATTAAGAAGCCCACTCAAAACCACACGACTACATGGAAATTGAACAACATGCTCCTGAATGACTCCTGGGTATATAATGAAATTAAGCCAGAAATCAGGAAGTTCTTTGAAACCAATGGGAACAAAGAGACAACGTACCAGAATCTCTGGGGTGCAGCAAAAGCAGTGTTAAGAGAGACATTTATAGCACTAAATGCCCACATCAAAAAGCTAGAAAGATCTCAAATTGACAGCCTAACAGTACAACTAAAAGAACTAGAGAACCAAGAGCAAACAAACCGCAGAGCTAGCAGAAGACAAGAAATAATGAAGCTCGGATCTAATTAAACTAAAGAGCTTCTGCACAGCAAAAGAAACTACCGTCAGAGTGAACAGGCAACCTCCAAAATGGGAGAAAATTTTTGCAACCTACTCATCTGACAAAGGGCTAATATCCAGAATCCACAATGAACTCAAACAAATTTACAAGAAAAAAACAAACAACACTGTCAAAAAGTGGGCGAAGGACATGAACAGACACTTCTCAAAAGAAGACATTTATGCAGCCAAAAAACACATGAAAAAATGCTCACCATCACTGGCCATCAGAGAAGTTCAATCAAAACCACAATGAGATACCATCTCACACCAGTTAGAATGGCAATCATTAAAAAGTCAGGAAACAACAGGTGTTGGAGAGGATGTGGAGAAATAGGAACACTTTTACACTGTTGGTGGGACTGTAAACTAGTTCAACCCTTGTGGAAGTCAGTGTGGCGATTCCTCAGGGATCTAGAACTAGAAATACCATTTGACCCAGCCATGCCATTACTGGGTATATACCCAAAGGACTATAAATCATGCTGCTATAAAGACGCTTGCACACATATGTTTACTGCAGCACTATTCACAATAGCAAAGACTTGGAACCAACCCAAATGTCCAACAATGATAGACTGGATTAAGAAAATGTGGCAGATATACACCATGGAATACTATGCAGCCATAAAAAAGGATGAGTTCATGTCCTTTGTAGGGACATGGATGAAATTGGAAATCATCATTCTCAGTAAACTATCACAAGAACAAAAAACCAAACATTGCATATTCTCACTCATAGGTGGGAATTGAACAATTAGAACACATGGACACAGGAAGGTGAACATCACACTCTGGGGACTGTTGTGGGGTGGGGGAAGGGGGGAGGGATAGTTTTAGCAGATATACCTAATGCTAAATGACGAGTTAATGGGTGCAGCACACCAGCATGGCACATGTATACATATGTAACTAACCTGCACATTGTGCACATGTACCCTCAAACTTAAAGTATAATAATAATTTAAAAAAAAAAAGAAAAGAAATAATGAAGCTCAAAGTGAAACTGAAGGAGATAGAAACATGAAAAACCCTTCAAAAAATCAACAAATCTAGGAGCTGGTTTTTTGGAAAAAAAAAAAAGGCAATAAAATAGACCACTAGCAAGACTAATAAAGATGAAAAGAGAGAAAATTCAAATAAACACAATCAGAAATGATATGGGGGATTCATGTACCTCAGCCTCCCAAGTAGCTGTGACTACAGGCATGCACTACCATGCCTGGCTGATTTTTTACCTTGTTGACCAGACTGGTCTTGAACTCCTGACCTCAAGTGATCTGCCTGCCCAGCCTCCCAAATTGCTGGGACTACATGTGTGAGCCACCATACCTGGCCTGTTTCATTAGTTTCTACTCCTATCTTTACTATTTCATCCTCCTTTCTTTCTGTTTATTTTCCTGTTTAGTTTCCTGGGTTTGAAGTTTAGGTCATGGGTTGGCAAACTTTGGCCTGAGGGCCAAATCTGACCTGCCACCTATTTCTGTAAATTGAATTTAATTGTAACACAGCCACTTCCATTTGTTTTTGTATTGTCTATGGCTACAAGGGCAGAGTTGAGTAACTGCGAGAGATCACATGGCCTGCGGAGCCTAAAATATTTATTATCTGGACAGTAACAGAAAAAGGTTGCCAATCCCTGTCTTAAATAATTGACTTTTTTTTTCTTTTCTAGTATATTAATTTAAAGTTTTAATTTCCCTCTAAGTTCTGCTTTCCCTACACTCAATAAATTTTGATATGTAATGTTTTCATTATTGTTTATTTCAAAATGTCCAGTTTCCATTGTGATTTCTTCTTCACCCATCAGTTATGTAGAAATATATTGCTGAATTTACAAACATTTGGGGATTTTTCCAATTACCTTCCTGACGGTGAACTCCTGTTTTAATTGCACTGCCATCAGAATGTGCTTTGTATGATTTCTGTTCTTTCAAATAAATGGATTTTGAAGTTGTATTTTGTGTTCTATATATGTGTTCTATAAGATCAATTAGTTAAATGTGTTATTCAAATGTTTTAGATTCCTATTAATTTTTTTGTCTGCTTGTCTTACTGGCTACTGAAAAAGGTATGTTTAAATCTCTAACCATGATTGTGGATTTCCCTATTACTCCTCTACGTTTGCCACTTTAGCATTATGTATTTTGAAGCTATATTATTATGTGCACATAAATTTAGGATTGACCCTTTTATTATTATAAGATGTCCTTCCTTATTGCTAGTAATAAGGAAGAAAGTCACTGCTTCAAGTTATGGGAGAACAAACAATGGGAGAGCAAACAATGCAAGAAAAACAAAGAGAGAGAAGAAAAGTACATTGACATAAGAACTTCATTCACCCTGTTTTTTTTTCTTAGATATTTAACAAATTTCAGCTTAGGTGAATAGGGTCCAAGTTACAGGACAGATGGTAAATATTTTAGAAAGAAAACAAAGATGTTATTAAACTGAGGAGACAGCAAATTTCATAGCCTCTCCTATGAAGTATTTTTGCCCAGATTTTTTTACTAGAATCTGACCATGTCTTTAGAACTGTAGAAAATACAGGTGATGGAGGAACAAGTTAAACAATACCATTAAGAAACAATCAAACAAATCATGATTGTGGAATATTCTACAAGACAGTTGAGCTGGGTTCTTCAAAAAGTCATTGTTGTGGAAAAAACAGTGTTGGTGGTGGACTGTTACTAGTCTTGATTAAGAGAATAAACATAGTAAGGGCAATGGGTAAATTTATTTGGATATTAGTTTGAAAAAATCTGTAAATGGCATTTTGGGGACAATTGGGAAAATTTGAATATAGAATAAGTATTGATGGTATAGAGGTTATTTGTTTGTTTGTTTATTTATTTATTTATTTATTTTTAAAGAGACAGGGCTTTGCTATGTTGCCCAGGCTGGCTTCAAACTCCGGAGCTCAAGTGATCCTCCTGCCTTAGCATCTCAAGTAATAGAGAATTATTTTTAAATTTCTAAAATATAATTATGGCATTGTGGTTATGTAAGCTAATCTCCTTGTTTTTAGGATATGTCCAAGTACTTTATGGTTAAGTGTCATCATATCTGTAACTTACTTTCAAATGGCTCAGATAGACACACACACATTTATATATATGTTTAAGTAGAATGGAGAGAGACAAAATGTAATTATGGCAAAATGTTAAATTTTATAGGTGGTGAATATATAAATATTCATTGTGCCATCCTTTTTAGAGTTTACAGTTTTCATAATAAGTTGGGAGAAAATCAATGGGCAAAGTAAGTTCAACATTAGAAAAAAGTAAGAAAGTTTCCAATTTAATTACAAAACTATAAAAACTGGAGGGGATGTTACTAGTTTCTGATTAAAAAAACAAAAAGACGCATATAGCAATAGAACATTTTCCAAGAAATTCCATGGCAAGTAAATATTTTCTAAATTTTCAAGGGATCTTCTCTACATTTTAAAGGAGTTATTTAATTTCTTGTAGGGGTGGGTGGGAGGGGGGAACAGAATGTTTAGACTAAAACAGTGAAAGACTTACTTTTCAATTGTCTATTGATTTCACTCTATTTAGCTACATCAACTTTGGGAATATAATATAAAGATTAGAGAGAAAAATGCTAGCAAAATATAAAGATTAGAAAGAAAAATACTAGCTATTGTAATTTGAGAATTTAAGGTAGCCAGGTACTGTGCAATGTGCCAAACACATGGGGTTCGGGTGAGCAAACAGAGACCCTGCTGTTATAGAATTGATAGTCTAGTAGGGAAGACAGAAATTAATTAAACATTTATACAAATATATAGTTATAAACTGCGATTATAGCTACAGAGGAAAAATAGGGTTCTCTGAGGGCCATTAATAGGGGAAATGAGGAAGTTCTGGAAAGAGTTTCTTAAAAAATATATGAACAGAGAAAAATACTGAACTGAGAGCTGAAGACTGAGGTGGAGTTAAATGAGCAAAGAACAGGGAATGACTTTCATGCAAAGGGGAAAGCATGTGTAATGAGCCTGAAGAAGGAAGAAGAATGGGACACTTTGAGAAACTGAAAAGTAGCTTGTATGGCTGGAGTACAGAAAGCAAGAGTGGTACAGGTGAGTTGGGAGGAGGAAACAGAGGTCAGATGATACTGTCTTTAAGCATAATGGGAAATTACTGAAGAAGGAAAGTATCAGATTTGCATTGTTGGAAGTTTACTCTGGTTAAAGGATAGAGAAAAAAATGGAAAGAGGAGGGTAATCACAACAGTCTAGGCAAGAGATGATGGTAGTTTGGAGACAGAAGGTGTGGCAGTGGACATGAAGATAAGTGGATGGATTTGAGAGAAACTTGGAGAGTGAAACTGGTAGGTGATGGTTTAGATGTGTAAGATGAAGGAGAGGGAAATGTCATGGATACATTCCAGGTTTTCAGTTTCAGAAGCTATATGAATGGTGCAGCCATTCCCTGAAAAGTGAAACATGGAATGAGAAACATATTTTTTTTTGTTTCTGAATTTGAGATGTTCTTAAGACATGAGAGGTTGAATGAAGGTATCTGTGTATGCCTAGAGAATTTTTAAAATTGTAACTCCACAATAATTATAAGTAGATTTCACCATTAGTGGACTGACTTTGTTCCTAAAAGGAATGAAAATTAAATAGTGATGATCATCACATAGTTCCATGAGAGCCTCCGACTATAAAGTGTAATTAACCAGAGATTTTCCCTTGGGGATCCTTGTGAAGTAATTTAATTAATTTTATTTTATTATCTGTTTTAGCAAGTTTTAGCTTACTATTTAAAAGAAAGCTAAAATATCAAATTAATTGGACTTTTCCCTTTCCTTGAATTCTCTAGCCATGATATGAGTCCCACAGCTAAATATGATCAGCTTATTTTCTTAAATTTATAAAAGGAGTGGAGTGACAGGATTTTCCAGAGGCATGACTCCATATTTCATAAAGTTTCTTACTTCAGTGTGTTGTAAACTGTGTGGTTTATGAATCAGCAAAACCGCTCTTGGGGAATATTTTACAAACGAAATCTTGAGGCCGGGCATGGTGGCTCACGCCTGTAATCTCGGCACTTTGGAAGGCTGAGGTGGGCGGATTACCTGAGGTCGGGAGTTCAAGACCAGCCTGACCAACATGGAGAAACCCCATCTCTACTAAAAATACAAAATTAGCCAGGCATGGTGGCACACGCCTGTAATCTCAGCTACTCAGGAGGCTGAGGCAGGAGAATCGCTTGAACCCAGGAGGCAGAGGTTGCGGTGAGCCGAGATTGTGCCACTGCACTCCAGCCTGGGCAACCAGAGTGAAACTCCGTCTCAAAAATAAAAAGCAGAAATGAAATCTTGAACCGTCATTATCTGGACACTTGTTTATAAACATGAAAATGTCTTGGCTTTTTCCTTAATTTGCAAAAGGTCTGTATGAAAAGATGCTATATCCATTTTCCCAAGAGGTAAACTTACAAATTAAATATTGAATTTTAAGTAAACAAGAAACAGTTTATTAATTTATTGGTGAATTAAAATCTTCAACATTCATAAAATCTATTTATATTTCTCCAAATTTTAATGAACAGTCATAGAAATTTGCATTTAAGTGGATTAGAATGCAATTTATAATACAGAATATAACCTAAGTATATAATTAACCTAGTATTTCATATTAAACAGTTGGAATATTTTGAAGTTTTCCTGAATTCTCTACTTTGTATTTTAAAAAGCTAACATTTTAGTGCTTTATGTGCATTTTAAATTTATTTTTATTTTTTCACCTCTCCTTGCCATATGCGAACATTTAAAATGTTTGAAAGCACTAATAGAAAACTCACGCATTTAAAACTATAATTCATAGCAAAACAGTCAAGTTTGGGCTCCTTTTCTTTCTCTAAAATAGACAAAACAAAATAGAAAGTCCTAAACAGAATTTCATGGCATCAGAATACCTCAGTCTCCTACCAGTGTTGTCAATGGAATAATGGTGACCTCTTATTCCTTTTCTGAGCACTCTTATTTAGAGATACAGACATTTTTAGCTACGCTTGCTTTTTTTTTTAATATTTAAACATTACACGAAATCACCAACGTGACCAAAGTAATTCAGAAAAATGTGTGAGCTCTTATACTTAAATCTGTGTTAAAAAAGACTGAGTTTTTCTTTTTTTCTCTATGTACTTTATACTTTACTTTCAAGCTCCGATCTACTAGAACAAAGGCTGACTGGAACTTCCCTTTACAGTCTTAAACTTACATGAAGGATGAATAGTATTCTCATCCATCCCTACTTTTTTTGCCTCTATCTTTTCAATTTATGTTGAAAGAGACTAGGCCAAAGATATTTTAAGATGTCTATGTATAGCTACATTATAAAGATTAGATGGGTTCTAAAATTGTGATTTAATAAATGTAACTATAATTATATAATTTATAATATACCAAACAACTAGTAATACATTAGATCAGTCCATTTTTCCAGTTTTTCAGGACACAGATATTTCTGCCATTTTATAAATTAAAGATTTTGAGTTACTTTAATATTTGGGGTTGTAACATACTTCTCAAGGTTATTAAAATGTAGTTAAAATCTGCTCTCACTGTAAAGTGTTAAAATTCAGAAGAATATTTGATACCATTTTTTCCCTCTTGTTAAATGCCATGTTTGAATTTGCTGTGAAATTAGAGAAATTTAATTTTCTCAGGTTGGGATAGGGTACTTAATAAATGATTAATGATGGGATTAAGTTGTTAAATTTTCTAAAAATTGAAATGAATATAAATGCACAATTAACATAAATTTGAGTAACCAAAGTCAATTTTTAGTTAGATTCTCCCTTTTTTTCTTAATAGGATTACTAGAAAGATTTGAAACTTAAATATAATCAACTCCTAAAGTTCACATAAATGTGACTAATATAAAGCACATCTTGATAAATTAGTATGTGTTATCATGCCTCATAATTAACAAGGAATTAGAAATTAAATTTGTTTATACGAACTTCTAAAATATAGAGGAAAAATAAACGGCAACTGGATCCCTTAATAGCCCTATAGATAATAAAAATCAGAGATTGATTTAAAATAAATGCATACCAAAAAATACTTTGAATGCTTCAGATCTACTTTAAAGTATTTTGCTATTTATTTTTTCTCTTTATTTTAGAACAAAATTTATGAATAGAAATGTGGCATATAAATTGGAACTGTTATGATGTGTGTTTCATATTTCTGGATTTGGAGACATGTTCTAATTTTAATCTGTATGTATCTTCCCTTTAGTTATTATTTATTTTTATTTTTCTTTTATTAATAGAGATAGAAGTATTTCTGCACCCAATCCAATTAACTGGAAAAAGGTCATATAAGAACATGAAAAGTCTAATCCCAGTATGGCCAAAATAGGTTTGCCAACATGGGCTAGGCCGGTAAGGAGGGAAGAGACAGGGACAGGGCAGAGGCTCCTCAGGAGGCCTTCCCTCTTTAGACCTCTTTTGGGGGTCGCCGGGGTCCTGACCCCCAGGTGCAGGTCGTCCTGGGAGGAAGGGTGGCACCAGAGTACTGGATGCTGGCATAAGAGCGAGTCTGAGCAGCTCACTCCATGCCACATCTCCCGCAGCAGTGACTTCCGGCAGGAACTGAGTCTGTACCGCGAGAATCTTAAACACCCGCGAGTGCCCTTTCAAGCCTGCTGGGGAATGCGCTCCCTTTCCCCAAACGTCCCTTGGTTCCCCCGTCGACCTACCCGTCCGAGGGTCCTGGGTACCCAACGCCGCCACGTCTGGCACCTCAACTCACATCTGGCGTCTCAACTGTCGCGTGGCGCCTCGGCCAGAGGTCCCACAAGGTGGCGCAGCCTTTCCGTGGCGCCCAAGAGCCCGCAGGCGCGGGTGGCTTGGCCCGCGTGGGCTCCGAACTGCGGCGGCTCCGCTAGACAGTTGCAGAAGCTGGCGGACGGCCGGGACCCCCTGCCTTGCGCAGCCAGGCGTCGAGGAGGCGGCGGCGAGTGCTGCGGTGCTGGCTGGGTGGCCGAGTGGTCCCCGCAGCCTCTGGACCCAGCCATGCTGCTCTGGATGCAGGGCTTCGTGCTGGAGGCGGTGGCCTGCCAGGATAACGATGACTACTTACGCTACGGGATCCTCTTCGAAGACCTGGATTGCAATGGGGACGGCGTGGTGGACATCATTGAGCTCCAGGAGGGGCTGAGAAACTGGAGCTCCGCGTTTGACCCCAACTCCGAGGAGGTGAGACCGGAAGGTGGCACAGGCAGCCTGGGGAGACGTTGGGCAGAGGGAGAAGCAAACCCTGCCCTTTCCAGAGCTGCTTTCAAAGGCCTTTGGAGTAAGGGTGGGGTTCTCCTCTGTGAGCCTCGTCACGCAGAATAATGCGACCCAACGAAACATGTTCTCAATCTTCTTAAAATAGCCACTTTCCGGCCGGGCGCGGTGTCTCACGCCTGTAATCTCAGCACTTTGGGAGGCCCAGGCGGGTGGATCGCCTGAGGTCAGGCATTCGAGACCAGCCTGGCCAACATGGTGAAACCCCCGTCTCTACTAAACAAATACAAAAATTAGCCGAGCGTGGTGGCGCGCGCCTGTAATCCCAGCTACTCCGGAGGCTGAGGCAGGAAAATCGCTTGAACCCGGAAGGCGGAAGTTGCAGTGAGCCGAGATAGCACCATTGCGCTCCAGCCCAGGCGACAGAGCGAGATTCCATCTCAAAAAAAAAAAAAAAAAAAAAAAAAAGCCACTTTCCGTAGTGACAAAGACCTTCAGGGGGCTTTTGGGGAGATGCTGTTTCTGGTGACTCGTTCAAAATTTATGGAACCAGCACACAACGTCAGGCGCCATGTTAGCCTTTGTGCAGAAGTAAAGGAACATCTCTTTTCTTAGGGGTTTCTCTGCCCAGGGCAGTGTGCTTCAGGGTCGTCTCCAAACGACAGGCACAGATAAGAGCCCCAGAGCTATTCTCTTTCTGACATCCACACCAAGGTCTAGGGGAAGTCAGACTTTGATCCATGGGTGTACACTTCAGCTGATTGTTTTAGAACCTCATCTAAATTAGGAATACCTTCCTTCTCTAGGCCAGTCTTGACTTGATTATTTTTAAACTATTTAGATGGAAGTTTCAGAATATCAAGAGAAAAAAATTATTTTATTTATTTTCTGTCAATGCTTAGCAGTCTTCAGATATAACTCCTATTGAATTTTAGGAGTTAGGTCTGAAGACTGTAAAGCTCTTTATTGGTGAGATTTTTTTTTTTTTGGTTGTTGCTAGAAGTCCAAACCATCTGGACTCCTCTTTAGTGATGCTGGGCATCTTTACATGTGCTTAGTAGCCATTTGTATAACTTCTTTGGAGAAATGTCCAAGTTCTTTGTTCATTTTCAAATTAGGTTTTTTTTTGTTGTTGATTTTTAGGAGTTTTCTGTATAGTTTGTATATGAACCCCTTATTATATATATGATTTGCAAATGTTTACTTCCGTTTTATGAGTCTCCTTTTTACTTTTGATGCACAAAGTTTTAAATTTTCATGAAGTCCAATTTGTCGTGTTTTGGTTGCCTGTACCTTTGATGTCATGTCTAAGAAATCAATGCCAAATCCATTGTCGAGAAGATTTTGCCCTGTGTCGTCTTCTCTAAAGTTTCATAATTTTAAGAGTTACATGTAGGTCATAGATCCTTTTTGAATTAATTTTTAATAGGGTGTTAATTAAGGGTCCAATGTCATTCTTTTGCATGCAGATATTCAGTTTTCCCAGCTTCATTTGTTGAAAAAACTGTCTTTTCCCTATTGAATGGTCTTTGCACTGTTGTCAAAAATTATTTGAGCACATATGCCTAAGTGTTTATTTCTTGGCTCTCTATTCTATTCCACTGGTGTATATTTCTGTCTTTATGTTAGTAGCACACTGTTTTAATCACTCTTGTTTTGCAGTAAGTTTTGAAATCAAGAAGTGAGTCCTCCTGCTTTGTTCTTCTTTTTCAGAATTGTTTTGGCTATTTGGGGTCCCTTGAGATTCCATGTGAATTTTAGTATGGGTTTTTCTACTTCTGCAAATTCATCATTGGGATTTTGGTAGGGATTGCACTGAATCTGTAAATTGTTTTGGGTAGTATAGACATCTTAACAATATTAAGTCTTCCAGCCCATGAACGTGGGACATCTTTCCATTTATTTATGTTTTCTTTAATTTGTTTCAGAAATGTGTTATAGTTTTCATTGCATAAGTCTTTTACCTTCTTGGTTAGGTTAATTCCTAAGTGCTTTATTCTTTTGATGCTTTAATGGCATTGTTTCCTTAATTTCCTTTTCGGATTAATTATTGTTAGCATATAGGTATAGAAATGCAACTGATTTTTTTGTGTTGACTTTGCATCTTGCCACTTTGCTGAATTTGTTTATTCTAACATTTTGTGTGTGTGTGGGGGGGGTGGGTCTTTAGGATTTTCTAAATATAAAGTCATATCATCTGAAAAAGGGATAATTTTACTTCTTGCTTTCCAAATTGGATGGCTTTTATTTCTTTTTCTAACCTAATTGCTCTGATTAGAACTTCCAGTACTACGTTGAATGAAGTGATGAAAGTGGGCATACTTGCCTATTTCTAATCTTAGAGAAAAAAGCTTTTAGTCTTTCACTATTGTGTATGATGTTCATTGTAGGTTTTTCACATACGATTTTTATCATATTGAGGATAGTTTTCTTGTATTCCTAGTTTGTTGAGTGCTTTTATCATGAAAGGTTGTTGACTTTTGTCAAATGCTTTTACTGCATCAATTGCGATGTTTGTGTTTTTTGCCATCATTCTGTTAATGTTATGTATTACACTGATTGATTTTTTAAAATGTTGAACCCTCCTTGTATTCCAGGAATAAATATCACTTGAGGATGGTGTATAACCTTTTTAACCTAATAAATTCAGTTTGCTATCATTTTTTTGGAGGATTCTTGTATTAGTGTTCATGAGAGACATTGGTCTGTAATTTTCTTTTCTTGTAGTGTCTTTGTATGGCTTTGGTATTGGGCCTCATAGGCCTCATAGGGTATATACTGGCCTCATAGGATGAATCAAATTTTAAAAGTTTATTTGGAAATGTTTGAGAAGTAGTGGGGTTAGTTTTTAAATCATAGAATTTAGCAGTGAAGCTATCAGATCCTGGGCTTTTCTTTTTTTTTTTTTAATTGGGAGATTCTTGATTACTGATTCAACCTCCTCATTAGTTATAGACTATTCAGATTTTCTATTTCTTCATAATTTAGTCTTGGTAGGTTTTGTGTTTCTAGGAATTTTCTATTTCATCCAGGGTAACCAATTTGTTGGCATATAGTGTATTGTACTCTCTTATAATCGTTTTTATATCCATAGAATCAGTAGTTATGTCCCCACTTTCATTTCTGATGTTAGTAATTTGACTCTTGTTTCTTTCTTTTTTCTTAGTCCATCCACCTAAAGGTTTGCCGATTTTGTTGATCTTTTTGAGGAACTAACTTATGATTTAGTTGTTTTTCTCTATTATATTTCTTTTCTCATTTCATCTATATCTGTTCTAATCTTTATTTTTTCTGCCTGCTAGTTTTGGATTTAATTTGCTCTTTTTTTTTAGTTCCTTAAGTTGTAAAGTTAGGTTGCTGATTTGAGATCTTTATTCTTTTTTTTGTTGTTTTTAAATGTAAGCATTTATCTCTGTAAACTTCTCTCTTAGTACAGCTTTTTGCCATATCTCGTAAGTTTTGGTATCTTGTACTTTTGATTTCATTTGTCTAAAGATATTTTCTAATTTTTCTTATTTTTTCTTTGACCCATAGTTTTTCAAGAGTGTGTTATTTAATTTCTACCCATTTATGAACTTTCCAGTTTTAATTTTGTCATTGATTTCCGGTTTCATCCACTGTGGTAAGAAAAGATACTTGGCATGATTTCAGTCTTTTAAAATTTATTAAGACTTGTTTTGTGACCTAGAGTATGATCTTTTCTGGAGAATGTCCTCTGTGTTACTGAGAAGAGTGTGTATTTTTTTCCTGTTGTATAGTATATTCTGTATATGCCTGTTAGATCTAGATGGTTTATGGTGTTCAAATTCTCTGTTTCCTTACTTATCTTCTGTTTGGTTATTCTATTCATTATTCAGTTTGGGGTATTGAATTCTTCAACTAATATTGTAGAACTAACTATTTCTCCCTTCTATTCTTCCAATTTTTGCTTTATATGTTTTGATGGCCTGTTATATGCAAAAAATATTTGTAATTATTGTATCTTCTTGATGTATTGAAACTTTTATCATTATATAATGTCCTTTATCTCATTTTTTTTTTTTTAGTTTAAAGTCTGTTTTATCTCATATTAGTATAGCTATCAGTGGTCTCTTTTGGTTACCATTTGCATGGAATTTTTTTTCATTCTTTTACTTTCAATGTATTTGTGTCTTTGGCTCTTAAGTGAGTTTCTTATAAACAGCAGATAGTTGGACCATTTTCTCATTTTTCTGCTAATCTCTATCTTTTGGTTGGAGAGTTTAATCCACTTAGGTTTAAAGTAATTAGTGATGCATCAGAGGGAAAGTGGTGGATAGTGGTGTGACCTCGACTCACTGCAACCTCCACCTCGCGGGTTCAAGTGATTCTCCTGCCTCTGCCTCCTGAGTAGCTGGGATGACAGGCGTGTGCCACCACACCAGGTAATTTTTGTATTTTTAGTAGAGACAGGGTTTCACAATGTTGGCCAGGCTGGTCTTGCACTCCTTACCTCAAGTGATCTGCCTGCTTCAGCCTCCCAAAGTGCTAGGATTATAGGGGTGAGCCACCACGCCTGGCCTTTCATTTATTTCTGCTTTGATTTTTAATATTTCTTTTTTTTTCTTTGCTAACTTTTCACTTAGTTTGTTCTTTTTCTAGTTCCTTTAGGTGTAACATTAGGTTAATTATTTGAGATGTTTCTTCTTTTTTTATCTAGGGATTTATTGCTGTAAATTTCACTTTTAGAACTGCTTTTGCTGTATCCCACAAGTTTTGGTATGTTGTATTTCCATTTTAGTTTGTTTCAAGATATTTTTAAAATTTTCCTTTTAATTTCTTCATTGACTCGTTTGTTGTTTAGGGCCTGTTCAGTTTCTATGGATCTGTGAATTTTCCAAAATTCCTGTTGCTATTTATTTCTGGTTTAATGGCATTTTGGTCAGAAGAGATTTGATACTATTTCAGTCTTCTTACATTTGCTGAGGCTTGTTTTGTGCCCTAACATGATCTGTCTTGGAAAATGTTCTGTGTGCCCTTGAGAAGTATGTGTATTCTGTTTCTGTTGGATGAAAGGTTTCATATTTGTCTGTTAGGTTCATTTGGTTGAAAATGTTGGTCAAGTCCAATCTTTCCTTACTAATTTTCTTTCTAGATTAGATATCCATTGTTGAAACTGGGGTATTGAAGCTCCTGAGTATTATCATATTGCAATATCTCTCCCTCCAGATCCTATAATTTATAAATCATGGTCTAGTGTTGGGTGAGTACATATTTATAGCTGTTCTGTTCTCTTGATGAATTGAGTCCTGTGTCATTATATAATGTGTTACTTTGTCTCTTTTTACAATTTTTGACTTAAAATCTATTTTGTCTTAAATAAGTTTAGCTATCCCTGCTCTCTTGTTTTCCAAAATAGTTTCAATTATATGTGTCCTTAAAAGTAAGAAGAGTCGGCCGGGCGCGGTGGCTCACGCCTGTAATCCCAGCACTTTGGGAGGCCGAGGCGGGCGGATCACGAGGTCAGGAGATCGAGACCATCCCGGCTAAAACGGTGAAACCCCGTCTCTACTAAAAATACAAAAAATTAGCCGGGCGTAGTGGCGGGCGCCTGTAGTCCCAGCTACTCGGGAGGCTGAGGCAGGAGAATGGCGTGAACCCGGGAGGCGGAGCTTGCAGTGAGCCGAGATCCCGCCACTGCACTCCAGCCTGGGCGACAGAGCGAGACTCCGTCTCAAAAAAAAAAAAAAAAAAAAAAAAAAGTAAGAAGAGTCTTTTGTACACAGCATTCGATTTAAAAAATTTCTTTAAAAAAAACAGGACGTTTAAAATCCATTTATCACTCTATATCTTTCTATTCAGTTATTTAATACATTTACATTCGAGGTAATTTTTGATAGGTAAGGACTTAATACTACCATTTTGTGAATTGTTTTCTGCTTGTTTTGTAGATACTTTGTTTCTCTCTCCTTCTCTTGCTATCTTCCTTTATTGTTTGATATTTTTCTGTAGTGGAATGCTTTGAATGCTTTCTATTTTTGTTTTGTCCTTCTGCTAAAGATTTTTGATTTGTGGTTACCATGAGGCCTACATAGAGCATCTTATACTTGTAATAGCCTATTTCAAGCTGATAACAACTCAACTTTGTACATAGCAAAGTACTTTTATGGCCCCTTCCCCATATTTTATGCTTTTGATGTCAGAATTTATGTCATTTTATAATGTGTTTCTTTCGACAATTTATTTTAGCTACAGTTATTAATAGTTTTCTTTTAACCCTTGCACCAGGGATAAAATTGCTTTGTCACCATTACATTCCCAGAATATTCTAAATATGTATCTGTGTTACTTACACCATTTAGCTTAGTGCTTTCATTTGTTTCGTGTCATTAATTACCAGCCTTTTGTTTCAGCTTAAATAACTCCCTTTAGCAATCCTTGCAAAGCAGGTCTCATGATAATGAACTCCCTTAGCTTTTTTCTGGGAAAGTTTTTATGCCTCATTTCTGAATGACAGTTTTGCAGATAAAGTATTCTTGGTTGGCAGTTTTTTTTTTCTTTAGCACTTTGAATGTATCATCTCACTGTCTCCTGGCCTGTAGGGTTTCTGCTGAGAAATCTACTGATAGTTGTATTGGCACTCCTTTTTACGTGATATGTTTCTTATCTTTTGCTGCTCTCAGAATTTTTTGTCTTTGATTTTTGGTGGTTTGATTACTATGTGTCTTGGTGAACTCTTCTTTGAGTTGAATTTGATTGAACATCTCTGTGTTTCCTATATCTGGATGTTGGCATCTATCCCCAATTAGGGAAGTCTTTAGCCAATGTATCTTTAAATACATGTTCTTGCCCTTTATCCTATTATGCAAAGGTTTGATTTTTTTTTTTTTTTTTTTTTTTTTTGAGACAGAGTCTCGCTGTGTCGCCCATACTGGAGTGCAGTGGTGCGATCTTGGCTCACTGCAAACTCTGCCTCTGGGTTCACACCATTCTCCTGCCTCAGCCTCCCAAGTAGCTGGGACTACAGGCACCCACCACCATGCCCAACTAATTTTTTAGTATTTTTAGTAGAGACAGGGTTTTACCGTGGTAGCCAGGATGGTCTCAATCTCCTGACCTCGTGATCCACCCGCCTTGGCCTCCCAAAGTGCTGGGATTACAGGTGTGAGCCACCACACCTGGCCAGGTTTGATCTTTTGATGGTATCCCATAGTTCCTGTAGGTTTTCTTCATTCTTTTTCAGTCTTTTGTCTTTTTGTTCCTCTGACTGGATAATTTCAAATTTTCTATTTTTTGGCCCATTGATTCTATCAGAAGAAAGATAGAATCTGTGGTTAATAATTTTTACCGAATTTTTCAGTCCAGTCATTGTATTCTTCATCTCTAGGATTTCTACTTGATTCTTTTTAATGTTTTTATTTCATCGTTGAGCTTCTCACTTTGTGTATTGTTTTGCCAAATTTCATTAAATGTTATATTTGTATACTTTTATGTTGATCTTTTAGAGGATTATTTTGAATTCTTTGTCAGTAATTTCATAGATCTCCTTTTCTTTGGGGTCTATCATTGGCACTTTATTACTTTCTTTTGGAGGTGTTATGATTCCTTGATTTTCTGTAATCCTTGTGTTCTTGTATTGTTATCTGCATATTTGCAAGGCAGCCTCTCTTCTGTCCTTTAAAGTTGTTTTGAGGCAGGGATAAATCTTCACTATTTAGTCCAGCCTGTGATTCTGGAAGGACCAGCTGGTGATGACCCCTGGCAGGCAGAACTTGTTGTGGGTTCTCTAGTTGGCTGAGATGCTGCCTTTGCTCTGATGTCATCTGATATCAACATCTGGTATCAGATACTGGCTGGGCTGCACTATCTGATGAGACCACTGGCTGGGCTCTGCTATCAGGCAGTACTGTGATGGCTTCTGGTCAGGCCAGTCACAGTGTATTTTTTTAATGAACAATTTCACTATTTGGGTTCTTTAGTTGGGCAGGACCATAAGCTGGGCTCTGAGTTTAAGCAGAGTTGCTGCTCGTGATAGGTGGGACTAGGGGCAATGCTCCTTAGAAATGCATGATTGAGGATTATTTCCCTTTAAGGGTGAATCCATGGGATGGGCTTTTGGTAGGGTATGGCTGCTGCTTGACTTACGTAGTCAAGCTGGTCGTGTCCCTTTGCTTCTTTGAAATGGGTAGAGGTAGGCATCTCCCTGCCTGGTTGGGGTCACTGGGAGCCTCTGAGGCTGGGCAGAAAGACTAGCTGTCTTGGGACCCAAGCTAGTTCCTAATTTGTATAGATTTAACCATTAAAGATTAAATATAGCAATACCATCACTAACCTTTACCTGGCAAACATACATAGAATATTGCACTCAAAAACTGAAGAATATGTGTTTCCTAAAGCACACATAGGGCGTTTATAAGAATTGCCCATACATTGGGTCATAAAGGAAATGCAAAAGATTTTAATAAAGAACTGGAATCATACAGAATATGTTCTGTATTCATAAGTAATTAAACAAGAAATAAGCTTTCTTAAAATTAAAAAAAGCTTTTTTAAAAAAAGAAATAACAGGACAAGTTTGATAAAAACTTGGGAGTGTTGTCAATCTATGGATTTTTTCATTGATATGACAAGTGATATTTTATAAGCCTTTACTCACAAACTTATATGTTGCTATACTGTTTTTGGAAAATTGGAAATACCCTGCTGAATCATACTCTAAGATAAATTATGAATTCCTGATCTCAATGATTTATTCAAAATTTATTTATAGAACTTTTATAAATGTCAGTCATAGCTCCAGCTACAAAAGATGCAGTTGTGAACAAGCCAAAGTCCCCACTTGAGGGTTTCAGGCTAGTAGATAATTCCAGATGATTACAATGTAGTGTCATAAGGCAAAGCAGATTGAAGCGGTGCACATTGCCCACAGGTGAATTTTGTAGGGAATATTTAGTTTACCTGAAAATGTCTTTATATCACCTTCATTTTTGAAGGTTATTTTTATTGCAATTGCATTCTAGGTTGACAGTTTTTTTTCTTTCAGCACTTTGAAGTTATCACTAAAGATGTCTACTATCGGCCAGGAGCAGAGGCTCATGCCTGTAATCCCAGCACTTTGGGAGGCCGAGGCAGGTGGATTACCTGAGGTCAAGAGTTCAAAACCAGCCTGGCCAACATGGTGAAACCCTGTCTCTACTAAAAATACAAAAATTAGCTGGGTGTGGTGGCGGGTGCCTGTAATCTCAGCTACTCAGGAGGCTGAGGCAGGAGAATCGCTTGAACCTGTGAGGTGGAGGTTACAGTGAGCCAAGATTGTGCCACTGTACTCCAGCTTGGGCTTGGCGACAAGAGCCAAACTCTGTCTCAAAAAAAAAAAAAAGGTGTCTGCTATCAAGAGCTGACTCTGATGTCAGTGGTTGCTTTTTTCAGTTCCTCCTGTATGTAATGTTTCTTGCCCTCACTTCCATCTTTGCTTTATTTTTTGGACTCCAATATTGCTCAGCTACTGAATTTCTATAAACTCACAGTCCTCCAGCAGCTATTTTTGTCAGGCTGATGGAGTCAAGTGTAGCTTAGTATTCAGCCAAAGATTCAAGGTTACCGGTATAGTTTCTGGAACACTGTCCAAAATTTGACCTGAAAATCCTGCCCTCTCAGCAGCCCTGAGCTCCAATCTTTGTTTATTCTACCCACCTGTTCTTTATTTAGGCTTCTACTTATCTATGCTACAATTTGGAGTGTCCCCAGCAGGAAACGAGAATCAGTGGAGAGCTCAACTTCTCGGTTTCCTTCTCTAAGTATCACAACCCTGTCCTGTTTGTAGACCAATGCCTGAAAACAATTTTTCATATATTGTGTCCAGTTTCAGATTGGTTTACAGTGGCAATCTAAGTTCTATAGCCACTATTTTGTCTTGGCTAGAACTGGAAATTGTACTAATCTTTTCGTTGGCAGGATGGAATTTGTTTTTTAGAATTTGTATTTACAAGAATGCTACTTAAAAAGCATTTCACTAATTCCACCTTTTAGTCAGACACAATGAAACAACTTCTGATCCTTTTTTAAAAAAAATTGAGAGGCTTAAAAATTGAGTAAATCCTAAATTTTCCATGGTAAAAAGTGAGTCTTCTCTTTAAATTCATAAATAAAAGGTTGTTTTAAACTTGATTAAAAAGCTATAAATAGGGAGAAGAGGATAAGAAGTAAAAATAATATTTGAAGAGCCAAAAGACATAAAATTACCCTTCAATCAGTTTTATTCACTTTTCACCCATTTATTTATTCACTCAACAGATATTTATTGAATGCTAAGTGTTGGAGATACACAGATGACTTGGTCTTTCCCTTCAAAACATCATAGGAAAATATGGGAGAAATACATACAAGTAAATAATTAAAAAGCAATATGGAATAAATTCCACTAGAGGGGCATTCTGCCAATTACCTGATCAGCACTCCTTGAAGCTATCAAGGTTATCAAAAACAGGGAAAGAGAAACTATCATAGCCAAGAGGAGCCTAAGGAGATGTGATGACAAATAGAATGTGCCATTTCAGCTGGGATCCTAAAACAAAAAGAGGACATTAGTTAAAAGCTAAGAAACTCTGAATAAAGTATGGACTTTAGTGAATAATAATGTAGCTATATTGGTTCATTAATTATAACAATAATAATGTGAAATGTTACCAATGGGGAAACTGAGTGTGGGGACATATGGGACTCTCTGTGTTATCGTCTCAATTTTTCTGAAAATCTGAAACTACTTAAAAAATAAAGTCCACTTAAATAACAATATGAAAATACAGTCATTTCACAAAGTCCAAAGGAGTGACTCCAACAATAAATATTTAAGAAGTATTTATTTTTATAGTGGTGCTAACTTTGATATAAATGTTACAAGTACTATTTTCTTTTTTTTTAAATTTCAGCATGGATAGTGATGGATCAATGACAGTAGACTGGGATGAATGGAAGTACTACTTTTTACTGCATCCTGCAACAAATATCACTGAAATGATTCATTTCTGGAAGCATTCTACTGTAAGATTACTTTGTATTTTACTTTGTTTTTATTTTGCTCTAAATGTCATAGCTGTTATGATAACATAACCCCTACAATACTTGCAGCCTCAGGGGCTAAAGTTACAATATTTCCCCCCTAATAATGTTCTGCTAATTTAGCTAGTGGTATTAGTATTGTGTGTATAAACAGAGCAACCAGTTTCTTTGTTTGCCAAAATCTAGAACTTAAAATCATAATCTACCTGCTGAAAGTGCCTACTTTGTGTTAAGAATTAATTTCTATGACATAGTATTTAGATTGCCCTAGAAAAGTGAAAAATAATATATTTTTCTTTTTTCACAGATATGCTGTATCTGATTGGGTCTTCTATCATAGAAAACATAAAGTCAAATATTAGGATTTGAAAATTTTAGAACCAGAAAGGGTCAAATATTTAATAATCTGCCTGCTCATTTTATATAAGCCCTTGACTTGGAGTTGTAATAAGGAGATCCTGTAATTGAAGACTTTGTTTCCTTTAGCAGATCTCAGGTGTGGGGGTTAATTATTTATTCATGGCATACTATTCTCATTTACCCTCCTGAGTTTTTGCCTCCTCTCCACAGAGAACATAGGGGAAGCAAAGAGCACAGGCTCTGGACTGCCTAGGCTTGAATTCCACATCTACCACCCACTTGCTCTATCAACCTCTCTGTGCATCATTTTCCTCAGTTATACAGTAGGGATAAAAATGATAAATGTTTTGAGAATTAAATTAGTACATTAGTTAGTAGACTTAAAACAGGGCTAAGCATATAAGTGTTCAATAAATGTTAGTTGTTACGATAGGCACTTATTCTATCTGATATGTTTCATCTGTGTTCTTGGATTTATATATTTGCATATTCTTAGGGAGCATGTAGTATTGTTTCACACATGTGTTTTTGATTTGTATAGCTAGTATTGTGCTAGAGACCACATCTGATTTCTGACTTTATGATTTGTCCTTGATGTTATATGCTTATCTAATTTATTGCTCCTAACATACTCATAGTATGCACTTATCACTTCTTCCTTGTCTATTCCCCAAGAAATGGACATCTAGTTTTTTCTCCAACTTCACCCATAAAAAATGCTTTCATTTTATGTACCTTAGAGAATTTCACCCAGTTTTCCATCATAGGGAATGTGCATTTGTACCTTTTACAACTACTAAGGTATCCAGTTTCAATTTTGTTTTAATTTCATGAAATATTGCCGTAATTTTTTTCCAGAATGGCTAGCCGTAGCAATTCACACTCCTGCCAGCAATGTATGAAGGTTCCCATTTCTTTATGTATTGTTTATTACTTGGTATTATTCAGTTTTATAGCATTTGCTGTTCTGTTGGGCATAAAGTAGAATTTCATTGTTTTAACCTGCATTTCCTTGATTCCTAGTACATTTTGAACATCTCTTCATAGGAATATTAGACATTCACATGTTCTTTTCTATGAATTGTCTGTTTATATGCTTTATCTAGTTTTTTATGGATTTTCTATCATGTCCCTAATGTTTCATAAGAGTTACATATTTATCTTAGATAGTAATCTTTGTTGTACTTTGACGTGCACATATTTTTTCTAGTATGCCATTTGTCTGTTGTTTCTTTGTTTTGTCCATGATATTCCTGGTTGAACAGAAATATTTGATTTTTGGTGAGTAAATCCACAAAATATGTAATGGTTTACAATTTTGGTATCTTATTAAGAAGTACTTTCCTACCTCTTGGTCACAAAGACGTTCTGTATCTTCTATTAGTTCTATGGTTTCTGCTTTTACATTTAGGCCTTTAATGCATCTGTTAGTTCACATTTCTACATGATTAAAAGCAGGGCTCTGATTTTATTATTTTTATATGTAGAGGGAATTTTCCCAGTATACCCTACTAAACATTGAATTCTTTTCACATTCATTTGTGATGCCACCTTTCTCACACATCAAGCTTCCATAAATACTTGGATATTTTCTTGAGCTTCCTTTTCTGTTCCATTGTTTTCTTTTTTAATGCCAATATTGAACTGTCTTTATGACTATGGTTGTGTAGTATAATACTGACCTGGTAAAGTAAATACTTCCTCTTTGTCCCCCTTCCCTCACTGATTTTTCTTATCTTTAAAAAAATTTATTCATTTTATTTATTTATTTATTTATTATGCTTCAATTTCTGGGATACATGTGCAGAATGTGCAGGTTTGTTACACAGGTATACATGTGCCATGGTGGTTTGCTGCACCCATCAACCCATTACCTGGGTTTTAAGCCCTGCATGCATTAGGTATTTGTCCTAATGCTCTCCCCCTCCTTGCCCCCCACCCCCTGACAGGCCCTGGTGTGTGATGTTTCCCTCCCTGTGTCCATGTGTTCTCATTGTTCAGCTTCCACTTATGAGTGAGAACATGTGGTGATTGGTTTTCTGTTCCTGTGTTAGTTTGCTGAGAATGATGGTTTCCAGATTCGTCTATGTCCCTGCAAAGGACATGAACTCATTATTTTTTATGGCTGCATAGTATTCCATGGTGTATATGTGCCACATTTTCTTTATCCAGTCTATCATTGGTGGGCATTTGGGTTGATTCCAAGTCTTTGCTATTGTGAACCGTGCTGCAATAAACATACGTGTGCATGGGTATATACCCAGTAATGAGATTGATGTGTCAAATGGTATTTCTGCTTCTAGACCCTTGAGGAATCTCCACACTGTCTTCTGCAATGGTTGAACTAATTTACAGTCCCACCAACAGTGTAAAAGCGTTCCTGTTTCTTCACATCCTCTCCAGCATGTTGTTTTCTGATTTTTTAATGATCTCCATTCTAACTGGCGTGAGATGCTATCTCATTGTGGTTTTGATTTGCATTTCTCTAATGATCAGTGAGGATGAGCTTGTTTTCATATCTTTGTTGGCAGCATAAATGTCTTATTTTGAGAAGTGTCTGTTTATATCCTTTGCCCAGTTTTTGATGTGGTTGTTTTTTTCTTGTAAATTTGTTTAAGTTCCTTGTAGATTCTGGATATTAGACCTTTGTCAGATGGATAGATTTCAAAAGTTTTCTCCTATTCTGTAGGTTGCCTGCTCACTCTGATGATAGTTTCTTTTGCTGAGCAGAAGATCTTTAGTTTAATGAGATCCCATTTGTAAATTTAGCCTTTCGTTGCAATTGCTTTTAGTGTTTCAGTCATAAAGTCTTTGCTCATGCCTATGTCCTGAATGGTATTACCCAGGTTTTCTTCTAGGGTTTTTATGATTTTAGGTTTTACGTTTAAGTCTTTAATCCATCTTGAGTTAATTTTTGTATAAGGTGTAACAGTTTGAGTTTTCTGCATATGGTTAGCCAGTTTTTCCAGCAGCATTTATTAAATAGGGGATCCTAAAGAAGCAAGAGCAAACAAATTCAAAAGCTAGCAGAAGAGAAGAAATAATTAAGATCAGAGCAGAACTGAAGGAGATAGAGACACAAAAAACTCTTCAAAAAATCAATGAATCCAGGAGCTGTTTTTTGAAAAGATTAACAAAGTAGATAGAATAGTAGCCAGACTAATAAAGAAGAAAAGAGAGAACAATCAAATAGACACAATAAAGAGTGATAAGGGGGATATCACCATGGACCCCACAGAAATACAAACTGCCATCAGAGAATGTTATAAACACCTCTATGCAAATGAACTAGAAAATCTAGAAGAAATGGTTAAATTCCTGGACACATACACCCTCCCAAGACTAAACCAGGAAGAAGTCGAATTCCTGAATAGACCAATAACAAGTTATGAAATTGAGGCAGTAATTAATAGCCTACCAACCAAAAAAAGCCCAGGACCAGATGGATTCACAGCCAAATTCTACCAGAGGTACAAAGAGGAGCTGGTACCATTCCTTCTGAAACTATTCCAAACAATAGAAAAAGACAGAATCCTCCCTAACTCATTTTATGAGGCCAGCATCATCCTGATACCAAAACCTGGCAGACACACAACAAAAAAAGAAAATTTCAGGCCAATATATTTGATGAACATTGATGTGAAAATCCTCAGTAAAATACTGGAAAACCAAATCCAGCAGCACATCAAAAAGCTTATCCACCACGATCAAGTCGGCTTCATCCTTGGGATGCAAGGCTGGTTTAACATACAGAAATCAATAAATGTAATCCATCACATAAACAGAACCAATGACAAAAACCACATGATTATCTCAATAGATGCAGAAAAGGCCTTCAATAAAATTCAACACCACTTCATGCTAAAACCTCTTAATAAACTAGATGTTGATGGAGCATATCTCAAAATAATAAGAGCTATTTATTTCAAACCCATAGCCATTATTATACTCAATGGGCATAAGCTGGAAGCATTCCCTTTGAAAAACAGCACAAGACAAGGATGCCCTCTCTCACCACTCCTATTCAACATAGTACTGGAAGTTCTGACCAGGGCAATCAGGCAAGAGAAAGAAATAAGAGGTATTCAAATAGGAAGAGGGGAAGTCAAATTGTCTCTGTTTGCAGATGACATGATTGTATATTTAGAAAACTCCATCGTCTCAGCCCCAAAACTCCTTAAGCTGACAAGCAACTTCAGCAAAATCTCAGGATACAAATTCAATGTGCAAGCATCACAAGCATTCCTATACACCAATAACAGACAAACAGAGAGCCAAATCATGAGTGAACTCCAATTCAGAATTGCTACAAAGAAAATAAAATACCTAGGAATACAACTTATAAGGAACGTGAAGGACCTCTTCAAGGAGAACTACAAACCACTGCTGAAGGGAATAAGAGAGGACACAAACGAATGGAAAAACATTCCATGCTCATGGATAGGAAGAATCAATGTCATGAAAATGGCCATACTGCCCAAAGTAATTTATAGATTCAATGCTATTCCCATCAAGCTACCATTGACTTTCTTCACCAAACTAGAAAAAACTACTTTAAAGTTCATATGGAACCAAAAAAGAGCCTGTATAGCCAAGACAATTCTAAGCAAAAAGAACAAAGCTGGAGTCCTCACACTACATGACTTCAAACTATACTACAAGGCTACACTAATCAAAACAGCATGGTACTGATAGCAAAACAGATATATAGACCAACGGAACAGGGCAGAGGCCTCAGAAATAACACCACACGTCTACAACCATCTGATCTTCAGCAACCTGACAAAAACAAGCAATGGGGAAAGGATCTTTCTTATCAAAATTAGCCTAGTTTTTTTTTTTTAAAGAAGAACTTTTATTTTAGATTTTAGATTTTCTTAATTTCAACTGAATTTTTGATTTTCTTAATTTCCACTGTATATTTTTAGAAACTTGATTGCAATTACGTTTGTCTTGGTTTGGGCTGCTATAAAAAATTACCATGGTCTAGGTGATTTAAACAACAAACATTTATTTCTCACAGTTCTGGAGGTTAGAAATTTGAGATCAGGGTGCTGATATAGTCAGGTTCTTGGTGAGTGCACTTTTCCTGGTGTACAGAGGGCTGTCTTCTTTCTATTCCCTCACATAGTGGAAAGAGAGCTAGCTAGACCTCTGGTGTCATCTTTTAAGGGCACTAATTCCAATTATAGTGGATCCACTCTCATGACCTAATTATCTCCCAAAGGCCGCAACTCCAAATATCATCACATTTCGATTAGGATTTCAATATATGAATTTGGAGACATACGTTTCATTCATTGCATTCTGCCCCTGGCTCCCCCAAATTCATGTTCTTCTCACATGCAAAATAAACCCATTCCATTCCAACAGCCCCCAAATACTTAACTTGTTCTGGCATTAACTTTAAAAGTCTGAAGTACAATGTCTCATCTAAATATCACATAAATTGGATATGGGTAAGATTTGAAGTACAATTCATCCTGAGGCAAATTCCTCTCCAGCTGTGAACCTGTGAAAGTAAGCAATTTATGTGCTTCCAAAATATACAGGAATAGGAGAGACATTCCCATTCCAAAAGGGAGAAAGAGGAAAGAAGGAAAGGAAAAATGGGTCCTAGGCAAGTTAATAGCAAGGCAAGCTCTGTGAGATCTTAAGGCTCAAGAATAATCATTTTGATGTTCTACTCTCTGGACTCATGGTGGCAATGGTTCCTCTTTTATACCTCTGCCCAGTGGGGGTGGTGTCCCAGTGGGTCCCAACAGCCCTGCCCCATGGCTCTGCTGCGTGTTGGTCCCACCGTTTGAAACTGAGGTGGAGGCAGCCCCATTCTCTGGCTCAGCCCATGGCACTCTGGGCCAATGGTGGAAGTGGCAGCTCTGTGGATTTCTGAATCTCCTTTGGGGTCCTTCTTCTCTTGTTTTGGATAGTGCATGTTTTCTGCTCAGTGGTTGAGTCCTGTAGTCCTGAAGTTCTAAGAAGTCTGATGGTCTTCCTTAATTGTATCCTATTTTCTCTCTTTCCTTTAGTCTCAGCTGGCATTTCTGCTAGAATTGCCCCATCTCTGTTCCTGGTTTCTGTTGAGATGGCTGATGAAGTCCATGGTTCACACTTACACGAATCTCCTTTTCAAGTGGTTAGTTCACCACACCCTTAGTGTTCTCTTCTGAACATGCTTTTTAAAAATTTTTTTGTAACATTAACAGTTCAGAAATTTTCAAATATTTAAGTTCTGGTTCCTTTTTGCTTAATGATTCCATCTTCAACTTATTTCTCTCTTACCTTTTTCTATAAGTGATCGGGAAGAAGTAAGCCACTCCTTCAACACTTTGCCTAGAAATTTCCTCCACTAAGTATCCAGTTTCATCACTTACAAGTTCTACATTCCACAAAACACTAGAACATAAACACAATTCAGCCAAGTTTTTTACCACTTTATAACAAGGATGGGCTTTCCTCTAGTTTCTAATAACATGTTTCATCATTTCCATTTGAGGCTTTATCATGAATGGCCTCTACTATCCATATTTCTACTAACACGATTCATAATTATGTACTGTCTTAAGAAGACAGAAGCTTTCTGTACAGCTCTCCTCTTTTATTTCTGAGCCATAATCACAATTGCCTTTAAAATCCCGTCATGGCAACATTGACATTTTCTAGCATGTACTTCACAATTCTTGCAGCCTCTACCCATTACCCACTTCCAAGATTGCTTCCACACTTTAATGTACTTGTTATTGCAGTGCCTCATTTCTCAGTACCAATTTCTGTCTTAGCCAGTTCATGCTGCTATATGTACTGGGCTACTTAAAGTTCAGGCATTTATTTTTCAGAGTTCTGAAAGCTGGAAGTCCTAGATCAGGTTGCCAGCATGGTTGGGTTCTTGGGGAATGCCCTTTTCCTGGCTGACAGAGAGCCGTCTTCTTGCCATCCTCATACAGTATGGAAAGGTAGCTAGCTAGCTGTCTGGCTTCTTATGAAGGCTTCTGATGTAATTATTTTTCAAAGACCCCACCTCCAAATACCATCACACTGGGATGAGGGTTTCAACATTTGAACTGACGGTGAAGCAGGACACAAACATTCAGTCCATTGCAGCAGTGAATTTATAGAATAATTTGGGTAAAACAGGTATCTTCATAATTTTAAGTTACTCTATCCACAAACATGATCAAATTATCTCTATTCAGATTTCTTGTTATATTATTTAACAGAGGTTACATTTTTTTCCCTGAAATGGTCTTCTGTCCTCTTTGTTAGGTTAAATCTTAGATGCTGTATAGATTTTGCCACTTTTGTGAATGTATCTTCTTTCCTATTAAATTTTCCACTTGATTATTTCTGCTTTGAGAAACTCCTTTTTGTAAGTTGATCTTCTATCTGGTACTTTGCTGAACTCTCTTATTTATTATAACAATTTGCCACCTAATACTTTTGTTTTTCCTTGTTTATGACCATATTCTTTTAATAACAATATTATTTCTTTTATTTTAGTTCCCATATGAAAACAATTCTTTTTAGCTTATATCTTTGGCTAGAATCTTCAGTACTGTGTTAGATAGCAGCAGGGATGGCAATCATTATTTCTTATTCATGAAGCATTTTTTTAAATGCTTCTAAAATTTCTTCTATTAAGTATGATGCTTGCTATGTTGTTGTTCTTATAATTATTAGCAAACTAAGGAAGTTTTCAGAATTTTAAAAATATAATTATTTAAATATATTTATATAACATAAAATTCACCCATTTTAAGAGTGCAAATAAATTCAATTATTTTAGTAAATTAAGAGAACAGTACAACAATCACCATAATCCATTTTTAGAACATTTCCATTATCCCCAAAATTCCTGGTACATGTTTACAGTTAATCTCTACTCTTCCACCTATCCCTGGGCAACTGCTCTTTACTTTCAGTCAGATACATATTTTTTAATGATAAATCGGTGATGAGATTTATTAAATAACTTTTTTGCATCCATGGAGATAATTTCCAAGAAGCAGTGCAGTATAGCATACTGGTTGAGAGACAGACTCTGAAACTACACTTCCTAGGCTCAAATTATAACATTGACAATGATTGTCTGTGTAACTTGGGCAAGTTATTGAATCTCTCTGTGCTTCAATTTCTTCAGTAAAATGAGAATAATGATAGCTATCTATTAGTTGAACTATAGGAAATTTCTGATATCCAACTATTTTTGACCTACAAGAATGGTAATTTGCAGAAAGTCCCCATCAGCGAGCAGGCTCTCACAGATGTGTCCCCTCAACCTTGGACTTCTCAGCCTCCATAATTGCATGAGCCCAATGAATGAATTCCTGTAATAAACTCTATCTATCTATCTATCTATCTATCTATCTATCTATCTATCTATCTATCTTATATCTATCCATCCATCCATCCTATTGGTTTTGTCTTTCTGGAGAGCCCTAACTAATACAGAGTGCTTCCATGTTTTCACCATTTCATGTTTTCTGAAGGATGTATTTTATGTTTTTTTCAAACTACTAGTACCTGTATTCTATGAGTTTTTCTTTCCTAGGTCCAACTGATACCATATATATTTTGATATATAGTGTTTTTATTGTCATTCAGGCACCATTTATTTTACAACTTCTCCCTGAGATTTCCTCTTTAATCCTAGGATTAATTAGGTAATATCTTTATTTTATGTGTGTGCATAATTTTCTGGCTGAGGGTTTTCTTTTAAAGACATCCTTTTGTTATGTATGATATTGAAATATAGTCAGGAATTATAGAGGGTATGATATAGATTCCTGGGAATTTATTGTGGCTTCATTTGTTGCCTATTAAATGGTCAGTTTTAAAAAATATGTTCTATGCATGTGTCCTAAAAATTAATGTATATTTTTTGCTTGTTGGATGTAAATTTCTATATAAATCAATTAAGCTAAACCTTATTATTTTATATGCATTATAATTTTTATTCTGTTTGATCTATAAAATTCTGAGAAGAATATTTTAAAATTAGCAAGTATAGTTGCTAATTTATTTCTTCCTGTAGTTCCACTGGTTGTTGCTGAAAATATTTTGAGCCTGTGTGGTTAACGTGTATATATGTTCATAAATTTTATATCTTTTTGATTAGTTGTTCCTTTTAACAATCTCTCATGATGGTTTTTCTTCTGAAGTTCAATCTGTATCTTCTCCTAAACAATATAGGTGTACTTCAATGTACTCTTACTTCCATTTGTTTTTTGCCATAACCCATATTTCCTTGGTATTATCTAGAATTTTAGTGGATTTTATTGGATATAGTTGCGTTTGTATGGTGTGTATATTTGCCTTTTTTAAAAAAATAATAAATTTTAGCTTACTTTATTTATCTTTACTTCTCATTTATCTTCTAATGTTCTTCTGGGTTTATTTCTCTCTTTGCTGGAGTGCCTCTTCCAAGAGTGTTTTCAAAGAGGGTCTTTGGGCGCTAAGTCTGCTGAGATATTCAATAGATACTGTTCTTGTATGTTTGCTTTTAGGTGATTTTTTTTGTTTGTTTTTTTTTGTTTTTGAGACGGAGTCTCACTCCTTCACCCAGGCCGGACTGCAGTGGCACTATCTCAGCTCACTGCAAGCTCCGCCTCCCAGGTTCACGCCATTCTCCTGCCTCGGCCTCCTGAGTAGCTGGGACTATGGGCGCCCGCCACCGCGCCTGGCTAATTTTTTGTAGTTTTAATAGAGACGGGGTTTCACCATGTTAGCCAGGATGGTCTCGATCTCCTGACCTCGTGATCCGCCCACCTCGGCCTCCCAAAGTCCTGGGATTACAGGCGTGAGCCACCGCACCCAGCCCGGTATTTTTGTTTAAAATTCTAGATTAAAAGTTTCTTTAATTGATTGGTTTGAAAATATTATTGCATTGCCTTCTTACATCGTATGACCTCAATTGGATTCTTGTTTGTACAGTCGTCCCTAGGTATCCACGGGCATTGGTTCCAGGATCCCACTCTCCACCCCAACACCTGCTGTCAATACCAAAATCTGTGCATACTCTAGTCCCGAAGTTGCCTTGGTAGAACCTGGTATATGAAAAGTCAGCCTTTGGTATTAGCAAATTGCACATCTTATGAATACTGTAGTTTCAGTCTGTTTGGTTGTAGACACAAACCCACAGATACAGAGGGCCAACTGTATTTATTGCAAAAAATCTTTGTATAAGTGGACCTACACAGTTCAAACCTGTGTTGTTCAAGGGTCAGCTGATTTGTTCTTTATCTCAGAACACTTAAAAAACTTTTTCTCTCCTTGTCTTTGATGTTTTAAAATTTCATTACAATGCATTTGGATGGTCAGGAGTGGTGGCTTACACCTGTAATACCAGCACTTTGGGAGGCCAAGGTGGGCAGATCTCTTGGGCTCAGGAGTTGGAGGCCAGCCTGAGCAGCATGCCGAAACCCCACCCCCATCAAAAAAATACAAAAATTACCCAGGCCTGGTGGTCA
This sequence comes from Homo sapiens, assembly GCF_000001405.40. NCBI lineage: Eukaryota > Metazoa > Chordata > Mammalia > Primates > Hominidae > Homo > Homo sapiens. The sequence goes on along the minus strand of NW_017852928.1, from coordinate 411,029 downwards.
GGAGGGTCAGAAGGGGGAAGTGGGAGAATCATCTGAGCCAGGGAAGTCAATGCTGAAGTGAGCGATGATAGTGCCACTGCACTCCAGCCTAGGTGATGGGAGTGAGACCTTGTCTCAAAAAAAAGAAAACAAAACGAAACAACAACAACAAAACTATATATTTATAATGTATGTATATAATGTATATATGTATATGTATAATGTATATATAATGTATTTATAATATATATGTAATGTGTATATATAATATGTGTATATATATAATGTATATAATACATTTAGGTAAGCTTTTCTCAAATATTTTTTCTGAGCCCTTCCAATATGAGGTGCTTCATCTCTCTCCAATTCTGGAAAATTCTTGGTTATTATTCTTATATTTTCTTGACATTTATTTTTTCTACTTTTTAAAGACTTACATAGAAGTTAACCTTTCTTGTTCTATCTTCACAGTCTCTTAACTTTTCATTTCTAATCTCTGTGCCTTTCTTCCTGCCTGATGTTTTCTGGGAGAGTTCCTTTACTTGACCATTCTTTGGCTGTAGTCATTCGGCTATTTATTCCATCGGTAGGTTTTATTATTATATATTTCATGTCTAATATTTCTACTTGGTTCTTCTTTATACCTTAATGCCTGCATTTTGTGAATAATATGCAATATAGCTCCAATATTTTGGAGAATGTTTATTATATTTATTATGTGTATTTAAATTCTTGATTTGTCTACCTATTAATCCTAATAGATAATGTAGTAGAGGTTCAGTTTGTGGTCTTTCTTTTTACAGGAGTTATGGATTTCTTTTTTTAAAATTTTATTTTAGGTTCAGGGGTATATGTGCAGGTTTTTTAATATAGGCAAACTATTGTCATGGGGGTATGGTGTAGAGACCATATTGTGACCCAGGTACTAAGATAGTACCCAATAGTTATTTTTCCTTCTCCCACTCTCCTTCCTCAAGCAGGCTCCAGTATCTGTTGTCCCGTTAGTGCCCACTGGTTCTTATTATTTAGCTTCCATTTATAAGTGAGAACGTGAGGTATTTAGTTTTCTTTTCCTGCATTAGTTTGCTAAGGATATTGGCCTCCAGCAACATCCATATTTCTGTAAAGAACATGATTTTGTTTCTTTTTTAGGGCTGCATAGTATTCCATGATATATATGTACCACATTTTCTTTATCCAGTCTGCCCTTGATGGGCATTTAGGTTGTTTCCATGTCTTTGCTATTGTGCATAGCACTGCAGTGAACATACATGTGCATGTGTCTTAGAATGATTATATTTTTTTGGGCATATACCCAGTAATGGGATTGCTGAGTTGAATGGTAGTTCTGTTTTAAGTTCTTTGAGGAATTGCCACACTGCTTTCCACAATGGTTGAACTAATTTACATTCCCACCAGCAGTGTATAAGCATTCTCTCTTCTCCACAACCTCACCAGCATCTGTTATTTTTTTTAATTATAGCCATTCTGACTGATGTGAGATGGCATCTCATTATGGTTTTGATTTTCATTTCTCTAATGATTGGTGATTGTATTAGTCCATTTTCACACTGCTGATAAAGACATACCCGAGACTGGGAAGAAAAAGGTTTAATTGGACTTGGAGTTCTACATGGCTGGGGAGGCCTCAGAATCATGGCAGGAAGTGAAAGGCACTTCTTACATGGTGGTGGCAAGACAAAATGAGGAAGAAGCACAAGCAAAAACCCTTAATAAACCCATCAAATCTTGTGAGACTTATTCACTATCATGAGAATAGCACGGGAAGGACCAGCCCCCATGATTCAATTACCTCCCCCAGGGTCCCTCACACAACACATAGAAATTCTGGGAGATACAATTCAAATTGAGATTTGGGTAGAGAAACAGCCAAACCATATCATTCTGCCCCTGGTGCCTCCAAATCTCATGTCCTCACATTTCAAAACCAATCATGCCTTCTCAATAGTCCCCCAAAATCTTAACATTTTAGCGTTAACCCACAAGTCCACAGTCCAAAGTCTCATCTGAGAAAAGGCAAGTCCATTCCGCCTATGAGCCTGTAACATCAAAAGCAAACTAATTACTTCCTGGATACAATGGAGGTACAGGTATTGGGTAAATACAGCTGTTCCAAATCAGAGAAATTGACCAAAGCAAATGGGTTATAGGGCCCATGTAAGTCCAAAATCCAGTGAGGCGGTCAAATTTTAAAACTCCAAAATGATCTTCTTTGACTCCAGGTCTCACATCCAGGTCATGCTGATGTAAGAGGTGGGTTCCCATGGTCTTGGGCAGCTCAGCCCCTGTGGCTTTGCAGGATATAACTTCCTTCCCAGCTGCTTTCATGGGCTGGCATTGAGTGTCTATGGCTTTCGCAGGCACACAGTGCAAGCTGTCAGTGCATCCACCATTCTGGGGTCTGGAGGACAGTAGCTGTCTTCTCACAGCTCCACTAGGCAGTGCCTTAGTAGGGACTCGGTTTGGGGGCTCCAACCCCACATTTCCCTCCTACAGTGCCCTAGCAGAGGTTCTCTGTGAGGGCTCTGCCCCTGCAGCAAACTTTTGCCTGGGCATCCAGGCGTTTCGATACATCTTCTGAAATCTAGGTAGAAGTTCCCAAACCTCAGTTCTTGACTTCTGTGCACCCGCAGGCTCAACACCACATGGAAGCTGCCAAGGCTTGGGGCTTCCACCTTCTGAAGCCACAGCCTGAGCTGTATATTGGCCCATTTCAATCATGGCTGGAGCAGCTGGGACACAGGTCACTAAGTCTCTAGGCTGCATGCAGCATGGGGACCCTGGGCCTGGCCCAGGAAGCCAGTTTTTCCTTCTGGGCCTCCAGGCCTGTGATGGGAGGGGCTGCCTTGAATGTCTCTGCCATGGCCTGCAGACATTTTTCCCATGGTCTTGGGGATTAACATTAGGCTCCTTGCTACTTATGCAAATTTCTGCAGCTGGCTTGGATTTCTCCCAAGAAAATGGGGTTTTCTTTTCTATCGCATAGTCAGGCTGCAAATTTTCAAACTTTTATGTGCTGCTTCCCTTATAAAGCTGAATGCCTTTAACAGCACCCAAGTCACCTCTTGAATGCTTTGCTGCTTAGAAATTTCTTCCATCAGATACCCTAAATCATCTCTCTCAAGTTCAAAGTTCCAGAAATCTCTAGGGCAGGGGCACAATGCCTCCAGTCTTTTTGCTAATACATAACAAGAGTCACCTTTACTCCAGTTCCCAAAAAATTCTTCATCTCTATCTGAGATCACCTCAGCCTGGACCTTATTGTCCATATCACTATCAGCATTTTGGGCAAAGCCATTCAAAAAGTCTATAGGAAGTTCCAAATTTCCCCACATTTTCTTATCTTCTTCTGAGCCCTCCAAACTGTTCCAATCTCTGCCTGTTACCCAGTTCCAAAGTTGTTTCCACATTTTTAGGTATATTTTCAGCAATGCCCCACTCTACTGGTACCAATTTATTGTATTAGTGCTTTTTCACACTGCTGATAAAGACATACCCAAGACTGAGAAGAAAAAGAGGTTTAATTGGATTTACAGTTCCACATGGCTGGAGAGGCCTCAGAATCATGGTGGGAGGTGAAAGGCACTTCTTACATGGCAATGGCAAGAGAAAATGAGGAAGAAGCAAAAGTGGAAACCCCTGATAAACCCATCAGATCTTGTGAGACTTATTCAATATCACAAGAATAGCACAGGAACGACCAGCCCCCATGATTCAATTACCTCCACCTGGGTCTCTTCCAGAACACATGGGAATTCTGGGAGTTACAATTCAAGTTGACATTTGGGTAGGGACACTGTCAAACCATATTATTGATATTGAACATTTTTTCATATGCTTGTTGGCCATGTGTATGTCTTCTTTTGAAAAGTGCCTGTTCATGTCCTTTGTCCACTTTTTAATGAAGTTATATTTTTTTTCTTGTAAATTTAAGTTCCTCATAGATGATAGATATTAGACCTTTGTCAGATGTATAGTTTGCAAATACTTTTTCCCATTCTGTAGGTTGTCTGTTTACTCTGTTGATAGTTTCTTTTGCTGTGCTGAAGCTCTTTAGTTTAGTTAGATCCCATTTGTCAATTTTTGCTTTTGTTGCGATTGCTTTTGGTGTCTTCATCATGAAATCTTTGCCCTTTCCTATATCCAGAATGGTATTTCTTAGGCTATCTTCCAGGATTTTTATAGTTTTATGTTTTACATTTAAAATCTTTAATTCATCTCAAGTTGATTTTTGTATACGGTGCAAAGAAGGGATCCAGTTTCAATCTTCTGCACATGGCTAGCCAGTTATCCCAGCACCATCTATTGAATAGGGAGTCCTTTCCTCATTGCTTGTTTTTGTCAACTTTTTCAAAGATCAGGATAGTTGTAGGTGTGTATCCTTATTTCTGGGCTCTCTATTCTGTTCCCTTGGTCTGTATGTCTGTTTTTGTACCAGTGTCTTGCTGTTTGGTTACAAGAGCCCAGTAGCATAGTTTGAAGTTGGGTAATGTGATGCCTCTAGCTTTGTACTTTTTGCTTAGGATTGTCTTGGCTATGTAGGCTCTTTTTTGGTTCCATATGAATTTTAAAATAGTTTTTCTCTAGTTCTGTCATTGGTAGTTTGACATTGGAAGAATGTCATTGGTAGTTTGACTGAACAGCATTGAATCTATAAATTGCTTTGGGCAGTATAGCCATTTTAACAAGACTGATTCTTCCTATCCATGAGAATGAATGTTTTTCTATTTGTTTGTGTCATCTCATTTCTTTGAGCAGTCTAATTGTAGAGATCTTTCACCTCCCTGGTTAGCTATATTCCTGGGTATTTTGTTCTTTTTGTGGCAGTTGAGAATGGCATTTCATTACTGATTCCACTATTGGTTTGGATGCTGTTGGGGTACAGAAATGCTAGTGATTTTTGTACATTTATTCTGTATCCTAAGACTTTGCCAAAGTTGTTTATCAGCTCAAGGAGCTTTTAGGCTGAGACTTTTGGGTTTTTTATATATAGAATCATGTCATCTACAAACAGGGATAGTTTGACTTTCCCTCTTCCTATTTGGAAGCCCTTGATTTCTTTCTCTTGCCTCATTGCTCTGGCCAGGATTTCCAATACAATGTTGAATAGGAGTGGCGAGGGAGGGTATCTTTGTCTTGTGTCAGTTTTCAAGGGCTATGGTTCCAGATTTTGCCCATTCAGTATGATGTTGGCTGTAGGTTTGTCATAGGTGGCTCTTATCATTTTAGCAGGAATGATACCAGCTCTTCTTTGTACAAGTGCAATACTTTGTATTTTAAAGTATGTTTCTTCTATACCTAGTTTATTGAGAGTTTTTAACGTGAAACAATGGTGGATTTTGTCAAATGCCTTTGCTGCATCTGTTGAGATAATCATGTGGTTTTTGTGTTTAGTTCTGTTTATATGATGAATCATATTTATGGATTTGCATATATCGAACCAACCTTGCGTCCCAGGGATAAAGCCTACTTGATCACGGTGGATTAGCTTTTTGATGTGCTGCTGGATTCAGTTTGCAAATATATATATAGTTTTAGAGACAGAGTCTTACTCTGTCACCCAGGCTGGAGTGCAGTGGTGTGATCTTGGCTCACTGCAGCCTTGTCCTCCTGGGCTCAAGCAATTTTCCTACCTCAGCCTCCTGAGTACCTTGGACCATAGGTGTGTGCCACTGTACCTGGCTAAGTTTTTATATTTTTTTGGGGGGGGTGAGTGGGTAGAGATGGGGTTTTGCCATGTTGTCCAGGTTGGTTTCAAACTCTTGAGCTCAAGTGATTTGCTCACCTTGGCCTCCCCAAATGCTGGAATTACAGGCATGAGCCACTGTGCCTGGCCATTTGCAAGTATTTTGTTGCGGATTTTTGCATCGTTTTCATCAAGGTTATTGGCCTGATGTTTTCTTTTATTATTGTGTCTCTGCCAGGTTTTGGTATTGGGAAGATGCTGCCTTCCTAGAATGAGTTCAGGAGGAATCCCTCTTTCTCAATTTTTTGGAAAAGTTTCAGTAAGGATAGTACCAGCTCTTCTTTGTACATCTGGGAGAATTTGACTGTGAATCCTTCTGGTCCTAGGCTTTTTTGGGCAGCTGGGGGTTGGAAAGCTATGTATTAATGATTTAATTTCAGTTTCAGAGCTTGTTATTGGCCTGTTCAGGGAATCCATTTCTTCCTGGTTCAGTCTTGAGCATGTATGTCTGTCCTGGAATTCATCCATCTCTTCTAGGTTTTCTAGTTTGTGTGCATAGAGGTGTTTGCAGTAATCTCCATGGTTGTTTGTATTTCTGTGGAGTCAGTGGTAACATCCCCTTGGTAATTTCTAATTGTGTTTATTTGGGTCTTCTCTCTTTTTCTTTATTAGACTGACTAGTGGTCTATCTATATTAGTAATTTTTTCAAAAATCCAACGCCTGGATTTGTTGGTCTTTTGTATGGTTTTTCGTGTCTCAGTCTCTTTCAGTTCAGCTCTGATTTTGGTTGTTTCTTGTCTTCTGCTAACTTTGGGGTTAGTTTGCTCTTGCTTCTCTATTTCTTCTAGTTGTGATTTTAGGTGGTTAATTTGAGATCTTTGTAACTTTTTGGTGTGGGCATTTAATGCTGTAAATTTCCCTCTTAACACTGCCTTAGCTATGTTGCAGAGATTCTGGTATGTTGTATCTTTGTTCCCATCAGTTTCAGAGAACTTCTTGATTTCTGCCTTAATTTCATTATTTTCCCAAAAGTCATTCAAGGGCAGGTTATTTAATTTCCATGTAAATGTATGGGATTGAGCAATTTTCTTCATATTCTATTTTTATTGTTCTGTAGCCTGAGATCTGAGAGTGTGGATGGTATAATTTTGGTTTTTAAAAATTTCCTGAGGATTGTTTTACGTCCAATTGTGTGGTCGATTTTAGAGTATGTACCATGTGGCAATGAGAAGAATATATATTCTGTTGTTTTTTTGATGGAGCATTCTGTAGATGTCTGTTAAGTCCATTTGGTCAATTGCTGAGTTCAGGTCCTGAGTATCTTTGTTAATTTTCTGCCTTGATGATCTGTCTAACACTGTCAGTGAAGTGTTGAGGTCTCCCACTATTATTGTGTGGGAGTCTAAGTCTCTTCATAGGTCTCTAAGAACTTGCTTTATGAATCTGGGAGCTCCTGTGTCAGATGCATGTATATTTAGTATAATTAGATCTTCTTGTTGAACTGAACCCTTTTCCATTATGTAATGTTCTTGTCTTTTTTTATCTTTGTTGATTTAAAGTCTGTTTTGTCTAAAATTAAGATTGTAACCCCTGCTTTTTTTGATTTCCATTTGCTTGATAGATTTTCCTTCATCACTTTACTTTGAACCTCTTGGTGTGAGATGGATCTCATGCCATGTGAGATGGATCTCCTGAAGATAGCATACCATTAGGTCTTGCTCTTTTATCCAGCTTGTTACTCTGTGTGTTTTAATTGGGACATTTAGCCCATTTACATTCAAGTATTGCTGATTTACATTTAGTATTGATATGTGGGGATTTGATCCTGTCATCACGTTGTTAGGTGGTTGTTATGCAGACTTGTTTGTGTGGTTGCTTTGTAGTGTCTGGTTTGGGTATTTCAGTGGTAATCATCTTTCCTTTCTATATTTTGTGTGATTTCTAGGAGCTCTTGTAAGGCAGATCTGGTGGTAATGAATTCTCTCAACATTTGCTTGTCTGGGAAGGATCTTTTTTCTTCTTCACTTATGAGGCTAAATGTGGCTAGATATGAAATTTTTGGTTGAAGATTTTTTTTTTTTAAAGAATGGTAAATATGGGCCCCTAATCTCTTCTGGATTGTAGGGTTTCTGCTGAGAGGTCTGCTGTTAGCTTGATGGGGTTTTCCATTTGTAGGCAACCTGCCCTTTCTTTCTAGCCGCCTTTAACATTTTGCCTTTCATTTTGACCTTGGAAAATCTAATGATTATGTGTTTTGGGGATGATCTTTTGTGTAGTATCTTGTAGGGGTTCTCTGCATTTCCTGTATTTGAACTTTGGACTCTCTAGTGAGGTTGGGTAAGTGTTAATATATGATATCCTGAAATATGTTTTCTAAGTTGCTGCTTTCTCTCCTCCTCTTTCAGGGATGACAATGATTCATAGATTTGGCCTCTTTGCAAAATTCGATATTTTTCAGAGGTTTTGTTTGTTCCCTTTCATTCTTTTTTCTTTATTTTTGTCTGTCTTATTTCAGAGAGCCAGTGTTCACCTGTTGAGATTCTTTCCTCTGGTTAGTCTATTCTGCTGTTAATACTTGTGACTGCATTGTGAAATTCTTGTAGTGTGTTTTTCAGCTCTATGAAGTCAATTAGGGTTTTTTTTTCCTTGCTATTTTATTTGTCAGCTCCTCTATTGTTTCTATAGTGTTTTTGGACTGGGTTTTGCCATTCTCCTGAATGTCAATAATTTTTATCTATAGTCCAAATTGTATTTCTGTCATTTCAGCCAGTTCTTCCTGGTTAAGAATGCCTGTTGGAAAACTAGTGCAGTGATTTGGAGGACATAAGATACTCTGGCCATTTGAGTTGCCGGAGTTCTTGCATTGGCTTTTTCCCCATCTCTGTGTGTCTGTGTGTGAGTGTTCCTTTAACTGCTGGGCTGCCACTGATTGAAGTGGTCAGGTGGAGGCAGGGGGATTGTTTTGGAACCCCAGGTTGGGTGCCCCTGTCCAGTGAGTAAAAGTGAGGACTGGGACCTGCATGGAGAAAAGTCTGGCCACCTTTCTTTCAGATGAGTGCTCTGTGCTAGGGGTCCAAACCACGCCATGGTTCCTGTGGACTCTCCAGGGCCTGGAGACAGCAAAGATGGCATCCCACTCTTCTCACTGGGAGCTTTGTCTCAGTGAGTTGCATAGCTGCCACTGGCTTGATAGACCCAGCAGGGGTGGTTAGAGACCCAGTCTGGGAGGACCTGTCTAGTGAGGAGGTACAGGATTGGGGACCCACATAATAAAGAGTTTGGCCACTTTTTCCTAGGGCTGCTGCAGTCTCTTGGGGGTTCACTCCAGTCCATAACCACCTCAGATTTTTCAGCAGCTGAAGGTATCAACAGTGAAGGCTGCAAAACAGCAAAGATGGCAGCCCAGCCCTCCCTCTGGGAGTTTTGTCCCACAGACTTTTGAAGCTGCTGTCAGCTGGAAAACACCAGCGGGGTGGATAGATATCTCGGTTGGGAGGTCCTGCTTAGTGAGGAGGAACAAGATTGGGGACCCATGTGAATAAACAGTCTGGCTGCTTTTTATGAGCAGTTGTACTGTGATGGGGCTCCATTCCAGTCTCTAGTCTCTTTGGACTCTCTAAATCCCAAAGGCAGCAATGGCTAAGGCTGAGAAACAGCAAGGGTGGGAGTGCATCCATTCCTCTGGGAGCTCCATCTCAGGGCGGTTTGAAACTATTGCTGGCTGGAAAACACCAGTGGAGGTTGTTAGAGACCTCCATCAGGAGATTCTGCCCAGTGAAGAGAAGTGGTATCCAGGACCCTCATGTAAAAGCGATCTGGCTGCTTCTCCACAGAGCTGCTGCACCATGCTGGGGGACCTGCTCCAGTCACTAGTCACTAGTCAGTCCTAGAGCCTGAAGGTAACAACAGCTTAGGCTGTGAAACAGCAAAGATGGTGGTCTGTCTGCTTGTGAGTTCCATCCCAGGGAGGCTGGGAACCACTGCCAGCTGGAAAATACAGGTGAGGGTAGCTGGTGACTCCAGTTAGGAGGTCCTACTCAATTAGGAAAAGTGGGGTTAGGTATCCATGTAAAAAGTAGCCGTCTGGCCACTTTTTCGTAGGGTAGCTGCATTGAAGGCAACAATGGCTAAGCCTGCAAAACAGCAAAGATCGTGGCCCACCCCTCCGTCTGGGAGATCCATGTCAGGGAAATATAACACTGCTACTGGTGGCGGGCTGGAGTTCTAAGCTAGTGTGTCTTATCCTGTGAGGTGCCATGGAAGCAGGACCTGCAGACCTTTGCTGCTCAGCCCCATAGATTCAGTCCCTTTCCTTAGGGGTATGTAGAGGGGTCCAGCCTCCCACTTTGCTGGAGTTGCAGCTGCATTCACCAGGAAGCTTGGGTATCTGAAGTTCCTGTGGCTCTGTGTATGCCTCAGCAGCTGCTTTGCCAAGACTCCATGTAGCTCAGTGTGTCAGACTGCAAGCTCTGTTGGAGTGAGTTCATGAAGGGATCTCCTGACCCAAGTGTTGCAAAGATCTGTGAGAGAAGCATGGGTTCTCAGGGTCACGCATTCACTCGCCACTTTCCTGGGCAGGGGAGGCTCCATTGGCTCCATGTCACTCCTGGGTGGGTGGTCATCTTGCGTTGCTTTTCTTCATTCTCCATGGGTTGAGTTGTTTTCTTGATGAATCTCAATGTGTGTACCTGGATGTTTCAGTTGAAGGTGCTTTATTTACTCACCCTCTCTATTTTTTCATGAGAGCAGTGCCTCTTTATTGATTTTCAGTCTGGAAGATCTGTCCAATGAGAAAGTGGGATGTTGAAGTCTAGCTATTATTGTATTGGGGCCTCTCTTTCTCTTTAGCTCTAATAATATTTTCTTTTTATATATATATGGGTGCTCCAGTGTTGGGTGCATATATTTATATATACAATTGTTATATCCTTTTGCTGAATTGACGCCTTTATCATTATAATGACATTTTTTGTGTCTTACAGCTTTTGACTTGAAGTCATTTTGTCTGATATAAGTATAGCTACTTCTGCTCTTTTTTGGTTTCCGTTGGCATGGAATGTCTTTTTCCATCCCTTTATTTTCAGTCTATGTGTGTCTTTATAGGCGAAGTGTGTTTCTTGTGGGCAACAGGTTAATGGGTCTTGTGTTTTCATCCATTTAGCCACTCTATGTCTTTTGATTGGAGAGTTTAGTCTATTTACATTCAATGTTATTATTGATAAGTAAGGAGTTACTCCTGCTGTTTTGTTATTTGTTTTCTGGTTGTTTTGTGATTTTCTCATCCTTCTTTCTTTACTTCCTATCTTTAGTGAAGGTTATCTCTTCTAGTAATATGATTTAGTTTCTTGGTTTTAATTTTTTTATGTATCCATTCTGTTTTTATGTTTGAGGTTACCATGAGGCTTGAAAATATTATTTTATAACCCACTATTTTAACCTGATAAGAACTTAACAGTTTGCATAAACAAATATGCAAAAAGAAAACTAATACAACTCTATAACTTCATGCCTCCACTTTTTAACTTTTTTTGTGTCTCTTTATGTCTTATTGTATTGTCTATGACTTGTAAAGTTGTTGTAGTTATTTTTGATTGGTTGATGATTTAGTTTTTCTAAAGATAAGAATAGTTTACACACCACAATTACAGTGTCGTACCATTCTGTGTTTTTCTGTGCGCTTACTACTACCAGTTAGTTTTGTACCTTCAGATGATTTGATTGCTTATTAATGTCCTTTTCTTTCTGACTGGAGTACTCCTTTTATCCTTTTGTGTAGAACAGGTCTGGTATTGATGATCCTTTAGCCTTTTGTTTGTCTGGGAAAGTATTTCTCCTTCACGTTTGAAGGATATTTTTGCTATATATATTATTCTAGGGTAAAAGTTATTTTCTTTCAGCACTTTAAACATGTCATGCCACTCTCCGGGCACCTGTAGTCGCAGCTACTCAGGAGGCTGAGGCAGGAGAATGGTGTGAACCCGGGAGGGAGAGCTTGCAGTGAGCCGAGATCACGCCACTGCACTCCAGCCTGGGCAACAGAGCGAGACTCCATCTCAAAAAAACAAATAAACAAAAAATGTTATGCCACTCTCTACTGGCCTGTAAGATTTTCACTGAAAAGTCTGCTGCCAGACATATTGGAGCTTCATTGTACAGTATTTGCTTCTTTTCTCTTGCTGCTTTTAGGATCTTTATCCTTGATCTTTGTGATTTTGATCATTAAATGCCTTGAGGTAATTTTCTTTGGGTTAAATCTGCTTGGTGTTCTAGAACCTTCTTGTACATGGATATTGATATCTTTCTCTATGTTTGAGAAGTTCTCTGATATTATTGCTTTGAATAAACTTTCTATTCCTATCTCTATCTCCTCTTTTAAGGCCAATAACTCAGATTTGCCCATTTGAGGCTATTTTTCTAGATTCTATAGGCATGCTCCATTGTTTTTTATTCTTTTTTTTTTTTTTTCGTTTTGTTTCTTCTTTGTGTTTTCAAATAGCCTGTCTTCAAGCTCACTAATTCTTCGGCTTGACCAATTCTGCTATTAAAAGACTCTGATCCATTCTTCAGTATGCCAGTTGCATTTTTTAGCTCCAGAATTTCTTCTTGATTCATTTTAATTATTTTAATCTCTTTGTTAAATTCGTCTGATAGAATTCTGAATTCCTTCCCTGTGTTATCTTGAATTTCTTTGAGTTTCCTGAAAATTATTTTGAATTCTGTGTCTGAAAGGTCACACATCTGTTTCTTCTGGATTGGTCTTTGGTGCCTTATTTAGTTCATTTGGTGAGGTTGTGTTTTTCTGAATGGTGTTGATGCCAGCAGATGTTCTTTGGTGTCTCAGCATTGAAAAGTTAGGTTTTCATTATAGTCTTCACTGTCTAGGCTGGTTTGTACCTGTTCTTCTTGGGAAGGCTTTCCAGTTATTTGAAAGAACTTGAGTGTTGTGATCTAAGCTGTATCTGTTTTAGAGGGCACCCAAAACCCAGTAAGCCTGTGGTTCTTGCACACTCATAGAGGTACTGCCTTAATGGTCTTGGACAAGATCCAGGAGAATTCTCTGGATTACCAGGAAGAGACTCTTCTTCTCTTCCTTTACTTTTCCCCAAACTAACAAAGTCTCTTTTCTGTTTTGAGCCACCTAAAGCGGTGAAACCACAAGATACAGTCTTTCCCACTCTTCCCTCCCCTTTCCAAAGGCCACCACCACTACAGGCCATGGGGAATACTGGGATACTGCCAGACTACTGCCAGTTTTCTCTTAAGGCCCAAGGTCTCTTAAGTCCACTTGTGGTGAATGCTGCCTGATCTTTCAGGTCAGCTCTGGTCCACAGCAGGTCAAGAAATGCCATCCAAGAGTCAAGTCTTGGAATCAGGGGCCTAAAGAGCCCATTTAGTGCTCTACCCCCTTCCCCCACTGTGGCCATGCCGGTGCCTAAGTTTCCTTTACTTTTCCCTATGCTTTTTTCAAGCAGAAGGAGTTTTGCCTTGTACCCACCACAGCTTGTAATATACTCAGTCTCACCTGAAGTCTCATAGGCTTACCTAAGGCTCTTGACATAGTTCTTGGGTATCACTACTGGTTATTCAGGGCCTAGGGGTTCTTCAGTTAGCATGTGATGAATGCTGCCAGGACCGAGTCCTACCCTTCAAGGCAACAGATTCTCTTCTGGCCAAGGGTGTGTCTAGAAATGTCATCCAGGAGGTAGGGCCTGGAACAGGAGCCTTGCAACTCTGAGTGGTGCCCTATCCTCCTGTGGCTGAGCTAGTATTCAAGATGCAGGATAAAGTCCTCCCCACTCTTCCCTCTCCTCTTCTCAGGTGGAAGGAAGGGGTCTCTTTTGGTGCCGTAAGATGTGCAGCCTGGGGTTAGGGGTTGGACGATGTCAGCCCTCCCTTAGCCACCTCAGCTGCTGTCTGAGTAGGTCTTGAGATTTCCGCTAGTCCTGTCTCTGGGCCCAGTTCAGCACTAGGATTCACCTAGCAATTGAAGTCCTTATGGTCTACACTGTGTTTCCAGTTTACTTAGAGACCCAGTGCAGCGTGGCCTAATGGTGGTAAGGTTTGTGGGAACTCAAGTTTGTACCACTGGTATTAATAGTTCTCCTCTGGCTAGGGCTGGTTTAAATGCTCTCTCTGGCTGGGCATAGTTGCTCACACCTGTAATCCCAGCACTTTGGGAGCCCAAGATGGGAGTATTGCTTGAGTCCAGGAGTTTGAGACCAGCCTGGGCAACGTGGTGAAACCCCATCTCTACTAAAATACAAAAATTAGCCTTGTGGTGGCGCATGCCTATGGTCCCAGCTACTTGGGAGGCTGAAGTGGAAGGATCACCTGAGCCCAGGGAGATCGAGGCTGCAGTCAGCCATGATCACACCACTGCACTCCAGCCTGGGCAACAGAGTAAGACCCTGTCTCAAAAACACATATGCACACATACACACACACACACACACACACACACACACTTGCACACACATACATCTTATTTCTTCCATGGGTGGGTGTCCGCTGAGTTCAGTTCACTTTTCCTTTCTTCTTTAACAGGACAGCACTGAGTTTAATGCCTCACAATTGCTGTGCTCTCCCTCCCCCAGTGCCCAGAGACACTCCCCGTACCTTGCCACCACTGTTGGGGTGTAGCAGGGATGGTGCCAGCGATTTAAGGCTGTTTGTTCTATCTCTTCACTGCCTCGTTCAGTGATACAAAGCTGAAATCAGTTACTATGAGGGCTCATCTGATTTTTAGTTCTTATGAAGGTGTTTTATTTGGGTAGATAATTGTTGAATTGGTGTCCTTGCAGGGGGATGATGGGTAGAGTCTTCTGCCTTCTTGCTTTGCCTCCAGCCTCTATACTGTCTTCTTAAGACACCTTTATTTGCTACCCTTGTTATTTTACTTATTTTCTCTGTATTATAATTGCTTTTTTTCCTTTCCTATCTCTTTTATTACTCTGTAAATTCCTAGAGGGCAGAAACTAACTTCTGCACTAAACCACATTGCCTCATCATTTAGAAAAAAGTGATCATCTTGTCATAAGCAAGTATGATCACTGAAAATAAAGTAAAATGCAAAAGTGGTTAGAGTATAGACTTTTAAAAAGGAAACTGACATTTGAAGAAGGAGTCAATGCAAATAATAAAGAAATTTAATCAAATCATATAAGATGCTACTCTTGAATTTTGACTTAGGTTTAAGTAATTAAAGGAGTTTGAGAGAATTTGAAATAAAGCAAGGAATATTTATTATTTATTCCTTGCCTAGTATGTGGCAGACATTGTGATGAGTGGCTGGTATGTAATCCCTGTACTCAGGGTTTACATTTTTCAGAGAACAGATTAACTAAATAGTTTGAGAATTTTAAATTAATAATTGCTCTAATTTAATTGATTTTACATTAAATCTATATGTCAATGCATTATTAAAAATCACTTGATGTAGTACAGGTGCTAAGAAAATTGTTGATCTTCAGTAACAGGAAGTGGCATGAAAAAAATCTTTGGATTTTTGGTCCTTGTAAAAAGTTATCTTTGCTCCTTGTAGAAAGCTATCCTTATAATTTATCAAGTGTTTACACTTTTGTTTATTGTCTAATAATTCTTCCTATTTATCAGTTAATTGATATAGGAGAGAGTATAGCTATTCCAGATGAATTTACCGAACAAGAAAAGCAGTCTGGAGATTGGTGGAAGCGTTTGGTGTCAGCAGGAATAGCTAGTGCGGTTGCACGGACATGCACGGCACCTTTAGACCGCTTGAAAGTCATGATGCAGGTTTTTTGCTCGCCTTACCTACCCTTTAAGAGTTAAAGTAACTTGAAAAGTCTTTGGCAGCTTTCAAAAAAGGTTTTAAAAAAATGTTTTCTCATATACTACTTCTCATTAAAATTTTACATTTTCCTGAAAATGTAAATGCTAATTTTCAATATTAAAAGATTTCTTAATTTTCTTAAAGAAGCTACTGTGTATTCAAGTTAATTTTTATTTTAAATAATAATAGAACCACTCTATTAGAATTTTTTTCAAAAATGGAACTAAATTTATGAAAGAAATGAGAAGATACCATTAGACTTTGTATTGGTTATCTCTAACCCTGGCACCAACATAATAGCATGGTTCTATTCTACCATTTAATTACTAAAAATATTTCCAAGAGGCAGAAAATAAGTTTAGAGTCTATTATTATATTTTGTTTAATTACATTTATTTCATTGAATAATGGATTGTCAACAGTAGTTATAAAATAGTGCATGGCTTAATGTGTTAATTATCATAAGTAGAATCCACAATTAAAGTTTGATATTTGCTGAATACTTTCTCTGCAAGGATATAAAAATTAATCATCCACAACCTAATTAACTTAAATTTCAAATTAAATTCACATATGTGGGTGTTTTACTATCTTTTGCTTTTCGGTAATGTTGGTGACATTTTAGTAATGCATTATGAACAGTTATTATACAATGTGAATTAATTGTGTAATAACTTTAGTGTCACATGTTTAAGAACTATTTAGTTTATACTTCTGTCTCATTCTAAAAAATGATTTATCTTAATTAGGAATTAAACTTATATAAATATATCATTTATGGAAAATATAGGTTGTTAGAAGGATAGGTTTTGCAAGGGAAAAGACTTCATTAATTCCACATATATTTATTTAGGGCCAATTATATACTAGCTGCTTTAATAGGCATTAGGGACTATAGGAAAATGTTAGACATAGTTTTTGTCCTTAGAGAATTTACAAGCTTTCTTGGACAATAGTTAGTTAGATAGGTAATAATAAAATGTGATATAAGTGCTATCTACCCAGACAGATGATACACATAGTACTGTGGGAGCACCAAGGGGAGTAAATACTATTCCCCCCATGCCTAATATTTCTTACATAAATATAGGTTGAGATTCTGGTTAATGCATCCCATGGAGATAAACCTTTAATTCAGTGGGCTAAGTGTAGGGAACATACTTTGAATGGCATTAGATGGTAAGACACATAACCCATCATCCTTCCGCATGTTTGATTCCATCTGTGATCTATATTCTTTTCAGATAGGTGACTCAGTTCAGTCAGTCCTTAGGTAAGAGCAGGAGCTGAAAATTCTGTGTTGCAGGTGGAAATATAAAACAGCTTCCTCAGTAACTGGGCCTGTCAGAAAATTAAATAATGAAATTTAAAGGAGAAATATACAGACATGATACAGTGCTACACAGAGATGGAGACATGTAGGGAGATGAGAAACACAGGAATGGGACCAAGAGGAAAAATAAAGACAATGTATTTGTCGTGCGCCCATCATATGCTAGGTGCTAGAAATACAAAGATGAAAAAGCATATTTCTTATACTCCAGGACCTTACAGAGACACAAACAACATATCTATGTGATGGTGATGATAATATTGAAAACAATAGTTGTCAATTAATTGCACATAATCACCGTGTACAAGATAGAAAATTGTATTTGTGGCTATTGTAAGGACACAGGGTAAGGGCACTCAGTTCTCTGAGGGGATGGAAATGAGTCAGTGGATTAGGGAGGGGGCAAATAGGGAGACCTGAAAAGAGTGAAAAAAGAGAAAGGGGTAAGGGAGGTGGATAGAGAAAAGTAGGAAGAGGATGGGAGACAGAAACATAAAAAAGAAAAGGAAAATAGGGGAAAAAAGAGGAGGGAAGATGATAGATACAAGCGAGTTTGAAGTGGGGTGAGGAGAGTACTATAATGAGAAGCAAAGGAAGGAACGGAAAGCAGGAAAGAGTCGCTGCCCTTTTATGCTGTTCTAGGTTGGGTCTCATGGCTTTCATTTATCCTTATATTTGACAGTGAAATGGGTTCATTAGAACTTGTCCACTCTATTGATAGAGGTATTATTGTGTGAGCTTCACACAACTGGAAAAGAATTCTGTGAAACAGAGGAAGACATATGTGTTGTGGTCAGAGGTAATTTAATATGATTCCTGAGCAGAGACTTTACAGTCAGAGAGCCCTGGGTTGGAATTTTTGATACTTTAATCACTTTTTCTGATCCATAGACACGTAGGTGGTTTTTAATCCTCCTTTTTTTAAAGCAATTATTCATAATTTTATGATGAACACCATTCTTTATTAATCTTTTTCCTAGTTAAGATTATTTGATTGAAAAATTCCTGGTTTAAGTAATGATATGAACATTTTTAAGGCTGTAAATATTTTACTGAATTTTTTTCTAAATTTGTTCTACCCACAGAAGAGAATGTTCATTTTGCCTTGTTCTCCCATGATTTTTCTCTTACTTTATAGACAGAAGGGCATTTTAATTAATGTTTTAACTGTACTTTCTTAAAAATAGCATTTTTTTCTTATTGTAAGATAGCACACTAGAAAAATGGGAAAACACAGAAAAGGATAAAGGAAGACGTTAAAATGACCTGTACTCCTCATGTATGAGGTTGTTAGGGATGCTACAACAAAGTTCCATAAACTGACTGGCTTAAATAACAGAAACTTATTGTCTTGGTTCTGGAGGCTAGAAGTCAAAAATCAAGGTGTTGGCAGGGTTGGCTCCTTTTGAGGGGTGCGAGGAATAATCTGTTCCAGGTCTCTTTCCTTGGCTTGCAGAAGGCAGTCTTCTCTGTCTCTTCACATTGTTTCCTCTCTGTGTGTGTCATGTCTCAGTGTCCAAATTTCCTTTCATAAGGATGCCAGTCAGAGTAGGGCACACCCTAATGATGTCACTTTAACTTGTTAAAGACCCTATCTCTAGGTCACATTCTGAGGGAATGAGGGTTAGGACTTCAACATATGAATTTTGGGAGACACATATTAACCCATAACACCTTGCCACCCAGGAATATCCACTGTTGAAAGTTCGATGTATTTTCATTTATCCTTTTCTCGTTGCATATTTCAATGTACTCTTTAATAATCTTGTAACATATTTGTACCATCAACGCATCTTGTTTATGCTCAAATTCCCTGGTAATTAAGTTATTTCTGTTTTTTTAAGTTGTCCTTTTCTCTTTGATGTGTCAGATTAATTAAAGTATGTATTTCGTGACAAGAAATATTAATATATTAGTTTTAGATGTCTCTGAGGGAAAATTAAAAATATCTTGAAAATCATGAATTTATGCGTATATGTATATTTATTTTTATTAGCAATAGCAATACCAATGCCATAAAGCCAGTAAAATGAATTGAAAAGTAAATAAATGTGCTATTTATTTATAGGTTCATAGTTTAAAGTCAAGGAAAATGAGATTGATTAGTGGCCTTGAGCAGTTGGTGAAAGAAGGAGGGATTTTTTCCCTTTGGTGAGGAAATGGTGTAAATGTTTTAAAAATTGCACCAGAGACAGCACTCAAGGTTGGGGCCTATGAACAGGTAAAACGTTTTTGTCTGTAGAATTTTAAACAAAAATCAGGTTTTAAATTTAATTTTCAAAAATTCAGACTCTCATGAAAGAGAAAACTGGAGTGTGCACAAGCAGTAGGTTTCAATGTAAATGTTAATGACTTTGTGCATTCTCATTTGATTTTTTGTGTTTTCATATTACTATTGTTTACAAGAGAAGTTCCATGAATTACTCTATATTATCATAACTGATATCTATTAGTAAATCTTTTAATTTCAATGTCACAGTGTGCGAAGTCTTCACAAAACATTTCATCATTGATTTTTTCTTTGAAAAATTTGAAAATTTTACAGAAATTTCAGTTCGTTTGTTAATGAATAGAGGATCAACATCTTAATTTAGTCAAGTGATGAAGAGATTAAAAAATGCACTTAATTTTAAAATTTGTTAAGCTCATTTAGATTATTCACTTTGAAATATGTCTATTTTCAAATATTATAAAATATTAGTGTCACATAAGAGTCCAAGAGTGCTCTGTGTGTCTCTCAAGTTTTCCATCTTCACTGTAAAATCTTATAGTAATTCTCCTTTCTTTAAACATTTTTATAGCATATAGCATTAAAGTGCTTATTTTATAGACTCTTGTTTATAAGGTCACCAGAACCTCAACATTTTAAGAAAATATTAAACAATGATCATATCCTTTTCCAACCCAAACAGTTGAAAAGCAAATAGATAGATGAGTAGGACTCTGGACTTAGTTGTAATGCATGCATATCTTAAAAACATACATCTCTTACTTAAACAGGGATTGGCTTACTCATTCAGCAAGTATTTCTTTTATTAACTAATTTTTCTTGAATAACTGATGTGTCCAGTTTCTCTTCTAGGTAACGGAAATGCCATAGCAAATAAAACAGGAAACCAACCAACCAACCAACCAAACAAACAAAAACCTGACTTCCTTTTTCAGATTTGTATTGGAATATAGATAGGAGGAGACAATAACTAAAGAAGTGAAATACATGGTATGCCAGGTGGTGACAATGGCTATGGGGAAAACAGAGGATAGAAATTGGAGATAGAAATTGACAACTCTTTCAAGGAGTTTTGCTGTGATGAGAAGAAGGGAAATGCAATGGTAACTGAAGGAGGTATGGGATTAAGAGAATGTTTTTCTAGAAATTGAAGAAGTGATGTTTGTATGCTTAGGGGAATAATCCACTGGAGGGGGTATAAGTGATAATATAGGAAAGGAGGGGAGTGTTGGTAGGGGATTGTCCTTAATCTTTGAGTGAGTGACAGGAGATGGGAGCTAATGCTCATGGAAGGGTTTGGCCTTGGTTAAGCATTTTATCCATAGTTATAGGAGAAGTGCTACTATGTGGACACAGTCGTAGCAGGTTTGTGGAAGCATTTTTCCTAGTGCTTCAATTTCTTCCATGAAATGGGAAGCAAGGACATGTTGGATGTTTGAAGAAACAGAAGGTATGAAATAGTCTTCTAGGAGAGTGGGAGAGTAAATGGATTGAGGAAACAAAATAAGATTTCTGGTGGCAAAGGTACAGTTGAAGTCAGTAGTCATGAATTTAAAGTGATATCAGGCAGCATGTAGAGCTATAAAATATTGTTTTCAATAGGTTTTGAACTCTGGCAGTTTCATAGATTTAAATATTTATTGTGTGCCTACCATGGGCTAGCTAGGTCTTATGTTTGGGAATACATGAAAGAGCAAGATAGATACTGTCTTTGGCCTTCTAGACCTTACATTCTATCAAAACTAGATGTTGAAATTTAAGAAGTGTTTATCTAAATGCAATATCAATTTAGGCCAGGCACATTGGCTCACATCTATAATCCCAGCACTTTGGGAGGCTGAGGTGAGAGGATCATTTGGGCCCAGGAATTCGAGACCAGCCTAGGCAACATAGTGAGATCTTGTCTCTACAAAAAATAAAAATAAAATTAGCCAGATGTGGAGGCACACTCCTGTATTCCCAGCTACTTGGGAGGCTGAGGTGGGAGGATTGCTTGGACCTAGGAGTTTGAGGCTGCAGTGGGCTGTAATTGTGCAGCTGCAATCCAACCTGGGTGACAGAGTGAGACCCTGTTTCTTTAAAAAAAAAAAAAAAAAGAAAAGAAAACTGTTGCAAAGTATAAAAGAAGCATACCAGTTTGTGTATTCATGATTATTACTAGGAATATGTGCGTTGTTATTTGTGAGGTAAGGTACAGATGGAAAAAAATGGCCTGGACCCTAAATCATCAGTATGTCATCCTCGCTATTTATGGTGATACACAGGTGGCATAAAGGGCACTCCAGATAAATGTACTGTTTACTACTAACAGGACTTTGGCTTCAAATTTCTTTCTTGTCTTCAACCCTGATGAGCTGGAGTGGATCAAAAATCTGCAACAAAGGACACCCTTTTCTCTATTTAGTGCCAAACTTGACTAGAGTCAGACTGAAGCAGCCCATTTCATACCTCTGCTCCCTTAGGACACATCCTGATTCCTGATAGCTTTCCAAGGGCACGCCACCTTATGGGGAAAAAGAGAATGAAAGAAATGCCACATAAGATGCAAAAAACAGAAGTTGCTCCTGCCCAATTTTATTTATTAATATAATCTCATTTGTTTCCTCACTGTCTAGAAGCCCTACCTTCTCTGGTTAACCCACTTTCCACTTCCCTAGATTTTTCTTGAAGACTCAGGTTTTTTCCTTAACCCATAGCAGAGCATCTTATCATGAGAGGAGTGTTGTGTGGGGTCAGGTAAAATAAGCTGTAATATTTTAAGTTGTAATAGAGATTTTATTTTACTTCTCGGACCCTCTATAAAGTTCTTATCCCAGCATTAAAACTTACCATAATTTATCCCTACTTAACATGTCCAGTACTGCTGCTTGACAAATACTGCTTTTCAAGTAAGAGAATCTTTTTCTTATACCTTAACAAGTTGTGCTTTTCCTATCTCCTTGATTTTGCTCACACTTTCTTTCTAATTGAGTTACCCTTTTTCTCCTTCTAACATATCGAAATTATTTCAAGAACTAAAGTGTTTCCCTTCCTGAGAAGTAACCTATTTTGGTGTCTGTTCTTTCTGCCCTAGTATATTTATTGCCTGTACCACTTATGTAAACTAGAATTAGGTTTAGATGCATGTGACAGAAAACCCCAAACAATAGTGACATAAATAAGATAGAACTTTCTTTCTTTCTCACAAAGTCCGAGGATAGGGAATTTAGGACTGGTATGGAAGTGCCTTGAAGGTGAAAAGAAACTCACTTGCAACCAGCTCACTGTCTACCCTCTGTAGGGTATGATCCTTGTCTCCATGAGTCTGAGCTGGAACTCCAGCAATGACATCTAAGTTTCAGGTAACAACTAGGGGAAGAAGCAAAGAAGGGCATGTCCCATTCCATGCAGGACACTTCCCCAAAGTGACATACAATACTTATGCTTATATATTATTAACCAAAACTTGGACACATGAACACATCTAGTTGAAGAGGAATCTAAGTATATAGTCTTTAACTGGGAAACAATAGGTACAACTGTAGATTTTTGTTTCTTAGGAAAAAAGGAAGATTGATTCTTGGGATACCACTAGCAGCCTCTGCCACTTAACCAGTTTGTGTCCTCTTTTTTAAAACCTATATTTTAAACAATGTCTTCCAGAAAAATATTATGCTTGTTTAGAATAGGGACCATAGCATCATTCCCAGAATAGTGACAGCACATCAGTGAGTGTTACTAAGAGCCTAGTGTCATCATTTTATAGATGTAAAAACTGAGGCAAGAGAGGATAAGTTACTTGAAGTTACACATTTAGTTGGCAATACAGTCACAGTTAGAATCCTGTCCTTGGTCCCAGTTCTCCTACCTTGGGACAATGTTTCTAATACTATGTTAGAGTACAGGTTCTCAGTCAGACTGGTAGGACATATCAGTGTGGCTTAAAATGGTTAACTGAGATTTGTTGTAAATTATGATTAATAGTAGTTAAATACCAAAGTTTATGAGTGATTTACTCAAAAGGGAGATTTTATAAGGTAGTACTTAAGGTCTGGTACTGGAACCAGGCTTTCTAAGTTCAAATCCTAGCTCTACCACTTGCTAGCTATGCAAAATACAGCAAGCTTCTTAACCTCTGTGTGCTTCAGTTTTCTTACATGTTCCTTAACTTAAAATAGAAGAAATAATGATTAGGGTTGTTGTGGGAATTAAATGAATTAACATGTATATAAAGTGCCTAGAACAATATCTGACACAAGCATTTATACACATTTCTATTTTTTGTAATAGACAAGACTATATTTTTAACATAATGGGCACTTTTACTTACTTGCAACTAGGAGAGAAAAGAGGGCCTTATACTGGCATGCATGGAATTGTACATAAAACATAACCCATGGAAATGTGTGGCAAATGTGAATGTCAACTGTCATGTGTTAAGCTGGAAAAATGGTTAGAATGTCTAAAAAATTAACAGATACTTTAGACTGTCAGGGTCTGCAAAACCACCCCCAGGTTCAGTGATTTGCTAGGAGAACTCACAGGACTCAGTGTATAGTCACACTTGTGGCTCTAATTCATTACAGTGAAAGGATACGAGCAAAATTTCCAAAGAGAAAAAGTGCATAGGGTGAAGACCAGAGGAAACCAGATGTAAGCTTTCAAGTGTCCTGTAGAGTCACATGCCACACGCTTAAATCCTCCAGCAATTAGTTATAATAACACATGAAATGTCTATCCCATTAGAGACTTAGTGCCCAAAGTTTCACTGGGATTGCTCACATAAGTACTCTCTGCATGGCATGTTCCAATATTTCAGACTCCTACAAGGAAAGCAGATATTCAGCTCAAATAATATTGCTTGCATAAAAAGTTTAGGCACAGCGAGCCATTCTTATCAGGGAATGATGGGAACCCTTCCCAAATCCAAGTTACCAAATACCAGCCAAGGGCCAACTTTGCAGGCAGTCTTTTCTAAAGGTAGCAGTTTTAGTCCTGCTGTATTAACTCTTTTCTTTACACAAACCATTTTAGAAATGTCACCATGAAGGGTAAGAAATTTCCTTGTAAACTTGTAGCTTGAAAAAAATACAAACTAATTATTTGGCATCAAGGGATGCTATTACTTCTTTCTTTTATTTATTTTTATTATTATTATTTCTTATATCTTTTTTTTGCCTGTTCTTTCCCCCTATAGCTTTATTGAGGTATAACTGACAATTAAAAATAGTATATTTAAGGTATACAACTTGATGATTTGATATACCTATACATTGTGAGGTAATCATCAAAATCAAGCTAATTAACATACCCATCATTTCACATGGTTACCAGCGTCTTTTTGGAAATGTGTGATGAGAACCTTTAAGATCTATTCTCTTAGCAAATTTCAAGGGTACAATACATTACTGTTAACCATATTCACAATGTTGTACATTAAATCTCCAGAACTGATTCACTTTGAATAACTGAAACTTTGTACTCTTTGACCAACATCTCCCCATTTCTCCCTCCTCCCAGGCCCTTGCAATCACCATTCTACTTTCTGCTTCTATGAGTTTGACTATTTTAGATCCCACATATAAGTAAGATTGTATAGTATTTGTCTTTCTGTATCTGGTTTATTTCACTTAGCATAATGTCCTCCAGGTTCATCCCTGTTATAAGTGGCAGGATTTACTTCTTTTTAAAGACTAAATAATATTCCATCATATGGATTGTATGTATTCCGTTGTAATATTCCATTATATACCACATTTTCTTTAACCATTTATTCATCAATGGGCATTTAGGTTGCCTGCATATCTTGGCTATTGTGAATAATGCTGAAATGAACATGGGAGTGCAATTATCCCTTTGAGATACTGATTTCATTTCCTTTGGATATATACCCAGAAGTGTGATTGCTGGATCATCAGGTAGTTCTGTTTTTAATTTTTTGAGGAACCTACATATTGTTCTTTATATGGATATAGCAATTTATATCCCATCATGAGTGTATAAGAATTCTTTTTTTAATTCACATTTTTTTTGGTCAACACTTGTTATCTTCTGTCTTTCTGATAGTAGTCCTTCTAAAAGGTGTGAGGTGATTTCTCTGTGGTTTTGGCTTGCATTTCCCTGATTATTAGTGATGTTAAGCAGCTTTTCATATACCTGTTGGCCATTTGTATGTCTTCTTTGAAGAAACGTCTACTCAAGTTCTTTGTTTATTTTACAATCAGTTTGTTTCTTTTGCTATTGAGTTGCGTGAGTTCCTTACCTATTTTGCATACTAAACTCTTATCAGAAATATGATTTGCAAATATTTTCTCCCATTCTGTAGGATGCCTTTTCACTCTGCCAGTTATTTCCTTTGCTATGCAGAAGATATTTAGTTTGATGTAATTGCTCTTGTTTATTTTTGCTTTTGCTACCTATGCTTTGGTATCATATCTGAAAAATCATCGCCCAGATGAATGTCAAGAAGCTTTTCCCCTATGTTTCCTTCTAGTAGTGGTATTGTTTTAGGCCTGATGTTTAAGTTTTTAATCCATTTTTAGTTGGTTTTTGTATATGGTGTGACATAAGGGTCTCTTTCTTCTACATGTGAATATCCAATTTTTCCAACACTGTTTGTTGAAGAGACTATCTTTTCCCCATTCCATGTGTTTGGCATCTTATCAAAGGTCAGTTGACTGTAGATAAATGGGTTTATTTCTAGGCTTTCTCTTCTGTTCCATTGGTCTAGTTGTCTGTCTTTACTACCATCCTCCTTTGGTTATTATAGCTTTATAATTAGTATGTTTTGAAATTGGAAAGTGGTTATGTTCCCAGCTTTGTTCCTCTTGCGCAAGACTGATTTGTCTATTCAGGGTCTTTTGTGGTTTCAGATGAATTTTAGGATTTTTAAAAAATTTCTATAGAAGGAATAACATTGGAATTTTTGGGGATTGCATTGAATTTGTAGATAGCTTTGGGTAGTATAGACATTTGAACAATGTTAATTCTTTCAATCATTGGACATGGATGTCTTTCTATTTATCTGTGTCTTCTTTAATTTCCTTCATCAATGTTTTATAATTTTCAGTGTACAAGTCTTTAACCTCTTTGATTAAGTTTGTTCCTACATATTTTAATCTTTTGTGCTATTGTGAATGGCAAAAAGATTAAAGATTATTATTTTCTTAATTTCCTTTCCAGATAGTTCATTGTTTGTGTACAGAAATGCTAGTGAATTTTGTATGGTGATTTTTCTATCCTGAAAATTTACTGAATTGGTTTATTACAACATTTTTGGGGAGATGAGTCTTTAGAATTTTCCATATATATGACCATGTCATCAAAAACAGAGATAATTTTACTTCTTTCTTTAGTTATGTCTTTTCTTTTTCTTGCCTAATTGCTTCAACTAGGATTTCAGTACTATGTTGAAGTAGTAAGAGTGGGCATCCTTGCCTTATACTGGATGTTAGAGGGAAAGCTTTCAATTTTTTCCCATTTATTATGACGTTAGCTGTGGACTTTTAATATATGGACTTTATTGTGTTGAGGTAAGTTCCATCTATGCCTATTTTGCTGAGCATTTTAATTATAAGTGAATGTTAAATAATGCTCTTTCTGCATCTATTGAGATGATTATGTGTGTTTTTTTCCTTTCATTTTGTTATTGTGTTGTATCACATTGATTGTTTGAGTATACTGAACCATCTTTGCACCCCAGGGATGAATCCCACTTGGTCATAGTGTGTGATCCTTTTAATGTGCTGTTGAATTCAGTTCGCTAGTACTTTATGAAGGATTTTTGTATCTGTGTTCATTAGGGATATTGGCCTGTAGTTTTCTTTTTTTGTGTTATCTTTGTCTGGTTTAGAATCAGCATGATGCTGTCCTCATAAAATAAATTTGGGAGTGTTCCCTCTTCTTCCACTTTTTGGAAGTGTTTGAGAAGGATTGGTATTAATTATTTGAATGTTTGGTAGAAGTTGTCCATGAAGTCATCTGGCCCTTGGCTTTTCTTTGTTGGGAAGTTTTTGATTACTGATTCAATCTCCTTTTTGTTATTGGTATGTTCAGGCTTTCTATTTCTTCTTCATTCAGTTTTGGTAGATTGTATTTTCCTAGGAATATATCAGTTTCTCTCAAGTTATTCAATCTGTTGGCATATAATTCTTACAAGCCTTATAAGTCTCTTATAATCCTTATTTTTGTAACATAATGCTCCTTTTTATTTCTAATTTTATTTTATTTTTATTATTTTTTTGAGACAGAGTCTTGCTCTGTCACCCAGGCTGGAGTGCAGTGGCACCATCTCAGCTCACTGCAATCTCTGCCTCCCGAGTTCAAGTGATCCTCCTCCCTCAGCCTCCCGTGAGCTGGGAATACAGGCTCGTGCTACCACGCTCGGCTAATTTTTTTGTATTTTTAGTAGAGACCGGGTTTCACTGTGTTAGCCAGGATGGTCTCGATCTCCTGATCTCGTGAACCGCCCACCTTGGCCTCCCAAAGTGCTGGGATTACAAGCATGAGCCACGGCGCCCGGCCACTATTTTTTTTTTTTTTTGAGATGGAGTCTCGCTCTGTCACCCAGGCTGGAGTGCAATGGCACGGTCTCGGCTCACTGCTACCTCCGCCTCCCGAGTTCAAGCAATTCTCCTGCTTCAGCCTCTGGAGTAGCTGGGATTACAGGTGCCCGCCCCCATGCCTGGCTAACTTTTTGTATTTTTAATAGAGATGGGGTTTCACCATTTTGGCCAGGCTGGTCTTGAACTCCTGACCTCAGGTAATCCGCCCTCCTTGGCCTCCCAAAGTGCTAGGAGTAGAGGCGTGAGCCACCAAGCCCGGCCTATTTATAATTTTGGTTATTTAAGCCTTCTCTCTTTTTTTCCTTAGTCTAGCTATGGTTTTGTCAGTTTTGTTTATCTTCAAAAACAAACAAAAAACCAACAACTACAGCAACAGCAACTCAGCTTTATTGATTTCTTTTATTGCCTTTCTATTCTCTATTTGATTTATTTCTACTCTCTAATCTCTATGAGTTCCTTCTTTATGTTAATTTTGGGATTAGTTTGTTTTTCTTTTGCTAGTTTCTTCATATTAGGTTGCTTCCTTGAGATCTTTTTTTTTTTTTTAATCCAGGCATGTATTGCTATAGAATTCCCTCTTAGTACTACTTTTGCTGCATCCTGTAAGGTTTGATATCTTGTAGTTTTTTTTTTCTTCAAGATATGTTTAAAATTCTCTTTTGGTTTCCTTCTAGAAACTGGGGTTTGGCTGGTCGCGGTGGCTCACGCCTACAATCCCAGCACTTTGGGAGGCCGAGGTGGGCAGATCACCTGAGGTCAGGAGTTTGAGATCAGCCTAGCCAACATGGCGAAATCCCGTCTCTACTAAAAATACAAAAAATTAGCCGGGCGTGGTGGCGGGCGCCTGTAATCCCAGCTACTTGGGAGGCTGAGGCAGGAGAATCGCTTGAACCCTGGAAGTGGAGGTGCCGTGAGCCAAGATTGCACCACTGCATTCCAGCCTGGGCGACAAGAGCGAAACTCCATCTCAAAGAAAAAAAAAAAAGAAAGAAATTGGAATTTAAATTGCTTTTGAAACAACTTATTAGTTGTTCAAGAGTATGTTGATTAGTATGCATATATTGTGAATTTTTTTCATTTTCTTGTTGCTTATTATTTTCCAGTGTTATTCCATTGTGGTCATAAAAGATACTTGGAATGACTTTACTTTTCTTAAATTTGTTAAGACTTGTTTTGTGACCTAACATGTGGTCTGTACTGGAGAATGTTTCATGTATGCTTGAGAAGAATGAGTATTCTACTGCTGCTGTTGGGTGGTAAGTTCTATATATGGTTGTTAGGTCCATTCGGTTTATTTGTTGTTTAAATCACCTGTTTCTTTATTGATATTCTGTCTGGGGGTTCTATCCATGACTGAAAGTGGGGTATTAAAGTTCCCTACTATTATTGCATTGCTATCTTTCCCTTCGGTTTTGTCAATATTTACTTTATATATTTAGGAACTCTGATGTTGGGTGCACATATATTTATATTTGTTATATCTTCCTGTTCAATCACTCCTTTTATCATTATATAGTGTCATTCTTTGTGTCTGGAGATGTCTATTTTGTCTAAGTATAGCCATGCATGCTTTCTTTTGGTTACTGTTTGCATGAACTGTCTTTTTCTATCCCTTCACTTTCACCCCATATGTGTCTTTAAATATAAAGTGAGGTCAGACATGGTGGCTCACACCTGTAATCTCAGTGCTTTTGGAGACGGAGGCAGGAGGGTCACTTGAGGCCAGGAGTTCAAGACCATCCTGGACAACATAGTGAGACCCCTCCATCTCTACAAAAAGAAAAAAAAGCCCTTCCTGTAGTCCTAGCTACTCAGGAGGCTGAGGCAAGAGGATCACTTGAGCTCAGGAGTTCGAGGCTGCAGTGAGCTATGATCATACCATTGCACTCCAGCCTGGATGACAGAGGAAGATGACCTTATCTCGAAAATAAGAGAAAAAAAACCCAACATATGTATATATATAAAGTGGGTCTCTTGTATCCATTCAGCCACTGTATGTTTCTTGATTGGTGAGTTTAATGCATTTACCTTTAAAGTGATTATTAATAGGTAAAAACTTACTATTGCCATCTTGTTAATTGTTTTCTGTTTTGCAGTTGTTTTCTTCTCTTCCTGTCTTTCTTGGTTATTTTATGATTTTTTTTGCAATGATTTGTTTTGACTCTTTTCACTTTGTCATTTGTGTATCAGAGTTTTTCTTTTGTGGTTACTTTGAGACTTGCATAAAATATTTGTAATTGTAATAATCTATTTTAAGTTGATACAACTTAACTTCAGTCACATACAAAAACTCTACACTTTACTTCCCTCTCTCATTCTGTGTTCTTATAATCAGAGTTTGATACTTTTTGTATTGTGTATTCATTAACAACTTTTTTAATTTTTAAAAAGTTTTTATTTTTTATTTTTTTTTGAACATTTACCTTCAGGGGCACATGTGCAGGTTTGTTACATAGGTAAATGTGTGTCATGGGGGCTTGTTGTGCAGATTATTTCGTCACCCAGGTGTTAAGCCTAGTGTCTATTAGTTATTTTTTCTGATTCTCTCCCTCCTCCTACCTTCTACCTTCTAATAGGCCCCAGGTTCCCAGAGGGGAACACTGGGGTTCCCCTCTATGTTTCCATGTGTTCTCATCATTTAGCTCCCACTTATAAGTGAGAACATGTAGTATTTGGTTTTCTGTTCCTGCATTAGTTTCCTAAGGATAATGTCCTCCACCTCCTCCATCCATGTTCCTGAAAAGGACATGATCTCATTCTTTTTTATGGCTGCATAGTATTCCAGGGTGTATATGTACCACATTTTGTTTATCCCGTCTATCATTGATGGGGATTTAGGTTGATTCCATGTCTTTACTATTGTGAATAGTGCTGCCATGAACATATGTGTGCATGTGTCTTCGTAACAGAATGATTTATATTCCCTTAGGTATATACCCAGTAATGGGATTGCTGGGTCAAATGGCATTTCTATCTTTAGGTCTTTGAGGAATCACCACACTGTCTTCCACAATGCTTGAACTAATTTACACTCCCACCCACAGTGTAAGTGTTCCTTTTTCTCCACAATCTTGCCAGCATCTGTTATTTTTTGACTTTTTAATAATGGTCATTCTGACTGGTGTGAGATGGTATCTCATTGTGTTTTGATCGTTTCTCTAATGATGAATAATGTTGAGTTGTTTTTTTCATATGCTTGTTGGCCACATGTATATCTTCTTTTGAGAAGTATCTGTTCATGTCCTTTGCCCACTTTTTTATGGGGTGGTTTGTTTTTTTTTTTCTTGTAAATTTATTTAAGTTCCTTATAGATGCTGGATATTAGACCTTTGTCAGATGTGTGGTTTGCAAAAATTTTTTCCCATTCTCTAGGTTGTTTGTTTACTCTATTGATCTGTTGTTGATCTGTTGATAGTTTATTTTGCTAACAAATTTTTATATTTTTAACTTTCATATTACACTTAAAGTAATTTGTGCATCCCCATTACAATGTTACATTAATATATATTTGTCTATATATTTACCTTTTCCTGTGAGATTTATTGTTACACATGTTTTTGCATTGCTGTTTGGCATATTTTCTTTTCAATTTGAGGAATTCTCTTAAGCATTTCTGTACAACAGGTATAGTGTTGACAAACTCCCTCAGTTTTTGTTTGCCTGGGAAATATTTTATCTGTCTTTCATTTTAAAGTGTAATTTTTCCAGGTATAGTATTATTGATTGACAGAGTTTTTCTTCTTTAGTGCTTTGACTGTATCATTCCACACTTTGCTGTTATACATCTTTTAGCTGAGAAATTAACTAATAGTTTTATAAGGTTCACCTTATATATGATGAGTCACTTTTCTTTTACTGCTTTCAGAATTCTCTTTGTTTTTCACCTTGGCAATTTAATTTGATCCTAAAGTGTCTTAGTGTATTCCTCTTTGGGTTGATCCTGTTTGGGGAATCTTTGAGTTTCAGGAGCCTGGATGTCCATTTCCCTTTCAAGATTTGGCAAGTTTTCGGCCATTGTTTCTTTAAATAAGCTCTCTACTTCCCTTTTATCTCTCTTCTCCCCTTTTATCTCTCTTCTCCTTCTGGAACTTCCATAATGCATATATTGATTTGCTTGACGGTGTCCCATAAATTCCATAGAATTTCTTTTTTCATTCTTTTTTCTTTTTTCTCTTCTGGATAATTTCAAATGACCTGTCTTCAAGTTGACATATGTTTCTCTAGCTTGCTGAACTTCTTTAAAACAATTACTTTGGGTTATTTGTCAGGCAATTTGTAGATCTCCATCTCTTTGGGTCCAGTTACTAGAAAATTATTATATTCTTTTGGTGATGAAAAGTTTCCATGATTTCTTCCTGTGTTCTTTGTAACTTTGTGTTTGCATTTAAACATTTGAAGGAAGAGTCACTTCTAGGCTTTACAGACTGGCTTTGGTGGGGGAAAACCATCGTCTGCAGGTAGGTGTGAGGGTGTGGATGGCTGGAGTGCGGCAGCTTTGGTTAAAGGGGAAGTATAGCAGCATAGACTGCAGGCATCTCCATCAGCTTAGGTCCACATCAGCAAAGACTGCAGTGGTCCCTGGCGACCAAGGTTAAAGGTGCCTGCAGTGACAGTGAGGGCTGATTAGGTCCTCTGTGGTGAAGGCTGCTGGCATGCCCTTCTCTCCTTTTCACTCATGGGGAGAAGTTGTGGTTGAGAGGATCCCTCTTTGTACTAGGGTCTGGGATACAAGGGTACTCATAGTGGTGGTGGTGCCATTGTCCAGGACACACAGAGTGGCAGTGGTGCCTAGATCTGGAGTGTAGAACACACAAACTGTCTGTGTGTTATCGGAATCTGAGGCACAAGTATGTGTGGGGCAGTGGTGGTGCTAATGTTTGGAATGCAGGCATGAGTGGAACAGTTGCCGAGCTGGGGTATGGGGGTATGTGCTGGATAGTACATGGCTCTGGCCTGGACGGGGCACAGTGGCAGCACTTTCTGGTTGTGGGGCACAGAAATGTGTACTTCAGGCAGCTGTCAGCTGAGGGAAGCACTGGCAAAGGCTGTGGTAGTCCTTGGTGGTGAAGGCTGCTGGGGTCTTTCTGCTCTTGTTTCCTCCCACCAGAGGGCAGTTGTGACCTGGGAGATCTCTCTTGGTGCAGAGCTGGACAGGACTGAGAGTTAGGGTGACAAAGGTAAAATGCTTCCTGTGTTTTCCTTTGTGGTCAGTCTCAGCTTTGTGCTCCATTGGGTTGTTGCAGCTCCTTCATTGTACTCTGGAGCTCTCTCAAAGCTATTTTAATCGGTAGGTAGTTTAAACATTGTTTTTGTGGGGGACTAATGTTGAGACCTTTTAGTCCACCATCTTGCTAACACATCCAGAAATCTATTATTTCTTATCTCTTAATCAGTATTGCTGGCCAGTCATCTTTTGCCTGGACTACTGCCATAGATTCCCAACTGGTATCTTCATATCTCCAATCCATTTTTCACACTGCTACCAGAGTAGTCTCTTAAAAAGATAAATCTGGTTATGTCATCTCTCTACCTTAAAACCCTCCACTGGTCACTCATTTCTCTTAATTGCAACATCTAAAATCCTTATTTTGACTAGCAAGGTGCAAAATGACTTGGCCTCTGCCCTCTTCTTCACTTTCATTCTTCTTTGCAGCCAAACTGGCTTTTTTTTCACTTATTCTAGTACACTATGCTCCTTTTTATTTCAGGTCCTTCTCATATGCTGTTTCCTCTACCCAACAGGAGGGAATTATAACCAATACTATTGTAACTGTTCTCAAAGCTATACTTGATATTTGTTATCTCATTTGGCCAGTACTTTGGCTAGTTTTTTGTTCGGTGGGTAACATGGGCTTTTATCCCTGAGGAATCTGAACTTTTAGTTGCTTTGTTCTTCTCTCTTTTTGTTTGCTATCATTACCCCATTCACTGTTACCACTATGCAGTAAAATACCATATATATAAGTGCTCACCTATGTATCCTTGGGCTTTACCATATCAGTGAAAGGTGACCTGACTTTTACCTTCCAGCATCTAAAATCTATTTGCCTAAGGTCTTCCTCTGGCCTCTGGAGCCTGTTCTGTTTCTGGAAATGGCAGGCTGGAAATGATAGGGAATGAAGGCCCCTGGGAGCAGCTTTCACTAATAAGTGATGGGCACTAGTAGATGAATACCCTAATGCCCTTGTTCACTTGGGTAGGATAATTCTGAAGTCTATGGTCTATATTATTCCCCAGAAGTTCTTAACAAGATTAAGCCCCAGTTGCATATCATTGCAGCTTGCTTAGTAACACATACTTTATCAGCTTTCGCTATTCCCTTTCTCACATCCTCAGTCCCCTACCAATATGTTCTAGCATCACCTCCAATGCCTTGTCTCAGGGTTGTGAAGCAGGTTCACTGTGCATTGGTTACTCTACCACTTGCATGGTTCTGGTGAGACAGAACACACACAATAAATTAAGCAAAGGAACTTTATTACTCATAGATAGGCAGTAAGGGCCAACAGTAGCGTAGAATTCATGGCAAGCCAGTCCCCCAAAGCTCAGGAAGTCCATCCAGGGTGGATGGAGTCTTGTCTACATGTGTCCCATGTTACACTGCAGCTGAGAGACTCTGAAAGGCACTCAGCTCTGGGTTTTATATTCAGGGGCAACTTGGCATGTGGGCTAGTGCTGTAGAATATCCTGTTTTAGGAGGCTTGGTGACTGAGCCCAGGCTAGTCTGGCCAGTTACCCCTATCTCAGGATGTTGCATTTCCAGCACATTCTACAGTTATTCTTGAGAACTACAAGCAAGAAAGGGAAGAGCTTGGTTGTCAAGGTCATCAAAGGACTTGTCCTGCAAGAATCTATTAGTATTATGTCTGTTACAGTGATCTGTGGTCAGTGATCTTTGAGATTATTATAGCAACATCTGATTTTTGCAGATAGCCAAGCTCTTTAGTATAACCTTATTTTCTTCTGTTGGGTTACAGAAGCAGGTGCCTTTCAAATCTGAAGTGCCATGTTTCTTGACTCTCAATCCAGGCAAAGAAAGCTCCCTTAGCAGAGCTCTATTCCTCCCACTTCTGCTTGTAAAGTGGCTTTGGAGAAGGCCTTGGGGCATAAATTAGAGCAATGTTTTAGCATTGTCTCATAGATCTTCCTTAAAGCAGCAAGGAGCAAACAACACTAACAACATTCTGAGATTTTACAGTGAGGTTTCCTAGAACTTCAGGCTCACACAGTCTACCTTCAAAATTATCACAGGAGGCAGTTCAGTCAAGCATTTCCATAAAACATCAAAAAGGTCATCACCTTCTTAGCCTGTAATGTCTGTGTCCTTTCCTAACAATAAAGCAAGTGCCACATATTTTAGCTTTCAGTTATGGCAGCACCCTATATCCATGAACAAATTTCTATACTTGTTAGGGTTTATTCTAAGCTATTGTAACAAAAAGATTCCAAAATACAGTAACTTCAATAAGATAGAGGCAAGTGATCCAGGGTTAACATTACAGCTCTGCCATTTTCAATACAATTTGGCTTCAAAGGTTGTACCTGTCTTTACCATTTCCTAGGTAGAGGAAAGACAAGTGTCTTTAAGGTGATGTCTCAGAATTTGTATATGCAACTTCCCCTCATAGCTCATTAGCCAAAATTAGACACCTAGCCACATAACCTATCTAAGAAGGAGAAAAAGGAAATGTAATGTGTAGCCGAGTCAGCCCTGTTACTAAAAGGAAGACATATAAATGAATAAAAGGAATATTATATCTAGTATTCATTATAAAGAATATGCTTACTAGAGCTATCTTGGATTCTAAGTGGTTTTCCAGTTTTAATCTCAATGAAAGTTGACTTTAGTTCCTGTGAAGCCTTATCTAAAGGTTAGATTTACATTTTCTTTTTCTCCACATGTGTTCTTGTGATATACTAGCTATTACTTAGGCTAAGGAGTAAAGTGTTTCTCTAAAAATAAAAATAAAAAGGCTCTCACATTAAGTTACTATTCCTGACTATCCAGTAACCAAACAATATTGAGTGCTTTCTGTATGTAAAGTGTGGTGCTGAAAAGAGATAAAAGATATGATCTCCGTCTCATTTGTGTCATTTATATGCCTCTTATGAAATAGAACATTCATAAATATGCATAAAGTGATTTAATATTGTCAACTTATTCTACCAAAAAGAGGAAGCGAGACTAAATGAAAGGGCTTTACTTATTATCTTAGATAATCAATTGCATAAAAATGAAAGGAATTCTGCTAGGTTGTGCTAATATTGGGTATCTAGTATACTTTTAAATATAATTTTATACTACTAATTAATTAATGTCATAAATATAGAAACAATATATATCTTGTTTCACTAATATTATACATTTCAATTTTTTTATACAGTATAAGAAATTGCTTAGTTTTGATGGTGTTCATTTAGGAATTCTTGAAAGATTTATATTTGGCTCATTGGCTGGTGTAACTGCCCAGACCTGTATTTACCCCATGGAGGTATGTATTATAAAATTTTAACTAAAGTCATATTTTAATGCAAATTATAACTTTTTATAAATGAATCTCAGGTAAGTATTTTGTACAATAAGCAGCTTTATAGCCATAGGATTAAAATCTTATATCAAGAGTGAGTTGGTGGTCAGGCACAGTAGCTCACGCCTATAATCCTGGCACTTTGGGAGGCCAAGGTGGGTGGATCACCTGATTCGGGAATTTGAGACCAGCCTGGGCAACGTGGTGAAACCCCACCTCTACTAAAAATACAAAAATTAGCAAGGCATGGTGGTGCATGTCTGTAAAAAAAAAAAAAAAGTCAGCCTCAGTAGATTTTATGGTTGTTGTTTAGGACACAGGTATTACTGTATATGAACCAAGAAGATAAACAATTTTGTTGATTGATTGATTGATTGATAGAATCACTTATTCATTCAGTGAGTAAATTTGTATTGTACACCTACTAAGTTTAAGGTATTTTGCTAGGCGCTATGCAGGATCGAGAGAAGAGTCATACAGGGATTTTTGGCCATGTAGCTTGTAGTCTAGAAGGGGAAATAAAACATGCACATCAATAATAATCTAAAATAAAAATGATAAATTATAGAAAGATCAATATGAAGTGCTATGGAAATTGAGAAGGGGAGAAATTATTTCAAGCTGGGGATCTCATGAAAGACATGAATAGAGGCTGGGTGTGGTGGCTTATGCCTGTAATCCCAGCACTTTGTGAGGGTGAGGCAGGTGGTTTGCGTGAGCCCAGGAGTTCGAGACCAGCCTGGGCAACATGGTGAAACCTCATCTCTACAAAAAATACAAAAATTAGCCAGGTGTGATGAAGTGTGCCTGTAGCACCAGCTACTCGGAAGGCTGAGGTGGGAGGATCACTCTTCTGTCAGGAAGTGAAGGTTGCAGTGAACCATGATTGCACCATTGTACTCCAGCCTGGGCAACACAGCAAAAAAGACTAGAAAGATGGGAAGACCAGATGCAAGATATTACCATCATTCGGGGAACTGATAATAAGAGTTCGAAATATGATGGTGACTAGGGGAAATTAACTCATGATAGAGCTGTCTTGAGAACTGTCAACTCGAAAAGTAGAAAGCAGGGGAAAGGAAGAGGGCGAAGTTCTATTTGGGTCCTGTGCCTGAGTGTTTAGGAGAGTTGCATCTGAGTTACATCTTGAAAACAGGTAGAGAACGGGAGGAAGTGAGCCAGACTCAAGAGAGGTGATGAGTTCAGATTTATGCGTATTTAAACTGAGCTGTTGATGGGACCACCAAGTTATGATTTTCAGTAGGCCGTTGCAAATGTGATACTGAGACTTAAGATTTCAAGTGTTGGTGTGTCACCTGAGAGAGGTGTTATTTGAGGCCAGGAGATTGCCTATGAAAAAGTAATGATTTAAAAAATGCTGAGAAGATGACTTTTGAGAAGGCCTTAATTTAGGGAGTGAGAGGAGAAAAACATGCCAGTGAAGCAGACAGAAAAGATTTACTTGGGTAAGAGGAGAGTGCACTGCCCTGGAGAGGATAGAGTTTTAAAAATGGGACTACCCAACGTGTCTAGTTCCGCAGAGAAGTCCATAAAACAAAAGGCTTCCTACTGACCACTCAGAGGCAGCCCCGTCAAGATACACAGTTTTCTCAATCAAGACAAAGTTTATACTTAAAAAAAATTTTAGCTTTTATTTTAGATACGAGAGGTACATGTCCTGGCTGTTTTAGAGAGCCATTTCTCCAAGCATGTATAAAGCACCTTTAAATTAATAGAATTAAGATGACAAGGAGTGAGACTCTATCAGGAGAATGAAATTGTGCATAGGAATATTGATCATATACAGCCTACCTGGGCCTACTATTGTCCTTATAGCTTCTGGAATATCAATACTTTATGAGCACAGAATGAGCCCAAGTTATATAAAATTGCAGTCTATGGGCCTCACTGTTAAAATAGTTACCAGAGTATGTACTTTAAGCATATGTAGAATGTTTTATTCATACTGGTTCTTTATTTTAACATGACCATATATGTTTTACCTTGAATTTTGGCTGTTTTCTTTTTTCCGAAGCAATGATGAATTTATTTCAGAACATGTTGCCTTTCGGCACATTAAAGGAATTTGCATGGATATATCACTCAAAGACACTGGGATTGATTTTATTTTCCTGCTTGAATAATTTTAAAATATCTCTGTACTGTATCAGTTGTTCATAAGTAAGAGCCAGTTATTGAGAAGTTACAATCATGTTTACAATTGTTTTCTTTTATGATTTCTCTGATTTATAAACATCATGAGATAATGCAAATCCCTGGATTGCTAAATAAGATGGGTGAATCTGATCAATATATCTTTCTTATATTCTTTTACATTTAGGTACTAAAGACCAGACTGGCTATAGGTAAAACTGGAGAGTATTCAGGGATTATTGATTGTGGCAAGAAGCTTCTAAAACAAGAAGGTGTCAGATCCTTTTTCAAAGGTTATACTCCTAACTTGCTAGGCATTGTACCTTATGCCGGCATAGATCTTGCTGTTTATGAGGTGAGTTTATTCTCATAATATGACAATTATATGTTAGATTTGCAAATATGGAACAACAATTTTTATTGTAGAAATATGGTTATAAATGACTTTTCATTAAAACAGCTTCTGACAAAGAGTGAATTGAATGGTTTTATTTGATTTTCCATTTTATATGTTACATATCTGGTATTCTAGTAATAATTTTTTATTTGTTTTTTTTTGTGAATCAGTTTTTGGTAATAATAATGTTAAGTTCTGATAAAACAGTGGTTCTCAATCCTGGATGCATATCAGAATCACATACATATGGATCTTTAAAAAATAGGATTCTTGGGCCACATCCTGAGATATTCTCATTTAATTATCCCGAGGAGGTGGAGTGCGGTGGCTCAGGCCTATAATTCCAGCACTTCAGGAGGCTGAGGGGGTTGGATCCCTTGAGCCCAGGAGTTTGAGACCAGCCTTGGTAACATAGTGAAATCCCATCTTGACCAAAAATACAAAAATTGGCCAGTCTCATAACTTGGTCTCAAAATAAATAAATAGATTTAAAATTTTTTAAAAATTATCCTGAGGAGAGGCCTAGGATTCAGGTTTTTTAACTGCCCAGAAAAATCTGTTGTATAAGTAAGACTGTGAAAGCTGAGATATTATCACACAGCTGTAAAAATGAGAATGGAGGATAGGAGTAATTGTGGCTTGAGGAAGAAAGGCAGGATGGAGATAGGACAAAAAAGCTGATAGTGTAATGCAGAGGCAGGATGCCAGCTTACTCCCCTTTCAACTGATCATTTCATTTCTATGGCCATACATCTGTTTCAGGAAGAGCATCTTAGCAATATATATACCATTTTGTCATAAGAACCAGGTGAAGGTGTGTGATTAGAATAAATTCATTCTCAGTGGAGGAAGGACAGTTCTCTAGATACAAGCCCAGTGGAATTTTTGGCAAGTGGTGTCATCATCAAGTGAAAGACAGATAACTTCCTTTAGCACTTTTACAAGTACACTTATATTTTCGTAGATGTTTAAAGTATTGAATATTATAGCAGGCATTTATTTTTCTTTTTGTTTTCTTGCATCTATGATCTTATTACAATAAGTTTGTTGCTGCTGTTTGTGTTGGGCTGCCTTCATTCTTTGATTTCTATGGTTCAGTATCTTCTGCTTTACACATTTGCCAGATGCCATTACACATCTCTCTTTGTATTGTTACATGACTGTAATAAGTGCATACTGAGTAAAGACATTTCAAAATTTATTTTTTCAAAAGCATCAAATTATACATTTTGTAGTAATCATTGCAGTCCATAATGGTAAAGTTGCTGTCCTTTAATAAATAAACAGTTCTGGAAGCACTTAGTGATGTTTTAAACTCAATATTTCTTAATTTCTTCCAGTCACTTTTATGCAAGAAAAAGAAAATAGGGAAAGAGGACTCTTAAAAGTTGAGAAAATGTGATTTTGTTAACCTGGAGTGGATTGTGTAGTCTTCCTCTCTAAAATATTGTGTTGATCCCTGTGAGAATCTCCAGGTTTTTGTTTGAATATAATTACAAACCAAAGAACAAGCAAAGCAAACCCCCCCCCAAAACAAAAAAACAAAAACAAACAAACAAAAACACCAAAACCCAAAACAAAACGCAGGGGAACTCAAACTGAGGCTGTATGAATATGTTGGTTTGAAAACATTAGTTCTCCCTGTCCCTGATAAGACTACAGGAATAGAGGCCGGGCGCGGTGGCTCACGCCTGTAATCCCAGAACTTTGGGAGGCTGAGGCAGGCAGATCACAAGGTCAGGAGATCGAGACCATCCTGGCTAACACGGTAAAACCCCGTCTCTACTAAAAATACAAAAAATTTAGCCGGGCATGATGGTGGGCGCCTGTAGTCCCAGCTACTCAGGAGGCTGAGGCCGGAGAATGGCGTGAACCCGGGAGGTGGAGCTGAGATTGCGCCACTGCACTCCAGCCTGGGCGACAGAGCAAGACTCTGTTTCACAAAACAAACAAACAAACAAACAGAACAAAACAAAACAAAAAAAAAACTACAGGGATAGCCCCCACCTTACTAAAACTTTATTCCATTTAGAGTTGCATAGTAGTAGGTTTTGTTTTCTATTTCATAGTATTTGTGCAGTAATATATTTACTACTCTCTTTTCTGCCAGATTTTGAAGAATTTTTGGCTAGAAAATTATGCAGGAAACTCTGTGAATCCTGGGATAATGATTTTGGTGGGATGTAGTACATTGTCTAATACTTGTGGTCAGTTAGCCAGTTTCTCTGTGAACCTTATTAGAACTCGCATGCAGGCTTCAGGTGAGTTTTTTTTTTTTAAAAGAATGAATAATAAGTTTAAAATTATGTTTTAAATGAGTATAAATTAATGACTTCAAAGACAAAAACTGTAGAATTGATAAGCAAGAATCCCGAATTTATTATTTTACTGACTAAAGCTTTTTGTGCATTTTAGATTTTATTTCCTCTCAAAGTATTGTTTGGAACTCTCCACATTTTCTTCAGTTACTAATGATC
This sequence comes from Homo sapiens, assembly GCF_000001405.40. Lineage (NCBI taxonomy): Eukaryota > Metazoa > Chordata > Mammalia > Primates > Hominidae > Homo > Homo sapiens. The sequence continues at coordinate 369,872 of NW_017852928.1, read as the reverse complement.
TCTTTAAGGAGTTTACAATTAGAAAGTACCATGCAGAACAATAGAAAAGATTATAGTTTTTTCAAATAAACAGTTATTCCATATGATCGTGTAATTTTACCCTAGTTCTGCTATTATTGTCATATTCTGCAACTGGAACTTAATACATTTGTGGAATTGAACTCAATTTTTTTTTCCAATTTACTTAAGGAAGAGATATTAAGAAAAGGGAGGATATCTGTTTTGTCTTAGTGAAATGTTAGGAATTTAGTTTTTAAGAAAATATCTTTATCACTTTTCAAGAAGGCAAAAACCCCCACACAATCCTATTGTTATCTTCTTGACTAAACTGTTTAAAGGTCATGTGTTAAGTGATATTATTTTACATTCTCCTTCTTCTTGTCTTTTTAGTTAGATTTTTGGTTTTAATTTACATTCTCCAGGTGGAGAATCTCTCTATCCATCCCATCACCCATCCTTTCCTCTCTAACTATTTGTGTCAAATCCAATTCCAAATATTCCTTTGAGGTCCCTCATGAAAGACTTTCAAGTGTTGTTTGATAGAACTTTCTGTGATGGTGGAAATATTTTATATCTGTGCTATTCAGTATGATAGTCACTATTCCCAAGTGAATACTTGGGATTGTTACCAGTGCAACTGAGGCAATGAATTCTTAGTTTTATTTAATTTTAATTAATTTAAATTTAAATAGCTGCATGTGTCCAGTGGGTACCATATTGAACAGCACAAGACATTCTACAGGTAGGGAGAGAGGTATATTCTGAAGTAATTTCAATCTCTGTAAATTCCCATTTATCATTGGATTTTCTTAATTTATAAATATTAAATATTGAATTATACTTTTTTCCAATTTATAGCCCCAGTGGAAAAAGGAAAAACAACTTCTATGATTCAGCTCATTCAAGAAATATATACCAAAGAAGGAAAATTGGGATTTTACAGGGGTTTCACCTCAAACATCATAAAGGTGCTTCCTGCAGTAGGCGTTGGCTGTGTGGCCTATGAGAAAGTGAAGCCACTTTTTGGATTAACCTGGAAGTGATATATAAAATTGTTGTCATTGTAATCACTTAATTGTAAGATAATACCTGTGTTATAAAGAGATGTTATCTTTTCCTAAGAGGAAAGAAATGTCAGATAATTGTTAAAATATTTTTTCATTATTACAAAATACATAAATTAAATAATAATTTTTATAAAGTTCTTGAATAAGTTAAAATATTTAATATCCAAAGAATACTATTTACATTTTCTACTACTCTCCCTTGAATCCTAATTTAAAATTTGTTCTTGATTTGATTTGAATGTAACATAAAACATTTGGTCAGTTATAGGAGTTTATCTTTGAAAACGTTTTTACATTTGAAAACTTATTTTAAAAAAGCTGAGCTTGAAAATGCTTTATACACTAACAGAAAAATCAGTGCATTTAAAATTGATGTTATAGCAAATAATTTGGAGTCTGTTTCTTTTACTTAAGCAAAATGGAAAATTGGTTTCTAATTCCTTCTATCACATTTTAGATGGAATAACGATAACATCTTTCTTACATCTCCGGGCCTTTTTATTTGTAAATGTGAACACTGTTGGTTCATTTTAATTCTTGATATTTTCAGCTTATATAAGGAAGTTGGCATTGATAACAAATCCAACACTGGACAAATTTTATTTATCTTCTGGTTGAAAACATTCAAGTGAAAGAATTTTATATATTAAATCCATTATCTTATAGTTGTTGAAGCAATTCTTACTTCAGCGTTGATGCCCTAAATATCTTCACTTCACTTTTATAAAAAAAATTATATTCTTTCCTGGGATTAAATAAATGAGTGGAGAGACAGTGGTAATGGGCTGATTGGACACTAACAGGCCTCAAATGAAGGACGCCTGGCTCAACTGACTGAAGTCCAGGCTTTGATTTTTAGCCTTGATGGCCCAAAAGTTTGACCTCATTAATTTCCTTAAAATGATCAGTTTTTTGGTACTAGATTAACAAAAATTGCTCACAGGATTGAGATATAGATCACAAAGCAAACCCATTAATTTATAGTGGTGTTTAATACTTTCCATTAACCAAAGAACTTTCATCCCTTCTCCAGGGCACACTGTTTCCTAGTGTCAAACTACTTGGAAACCTAATAGGTAATAAGAAGACTGATGTGGAATTAGAACAAAGAGAAGAAGATACTTTTGAGGAATATTTTAGTCAGGCCCATCCCAGTTAAGGTGGGAAGAGTTGGGAACCTTGCATACAAGGGGAGAGGAGCTGAGAACTAAAGTAGGAGAGTGGAAAGAACTGTGAAACTTGAGCTAAATTAAGCCACAGATCAACAGAAGAGAGAAAGGTAAATCTTATGTGAACCCTGGGGGAATGGGTGTGTAAGAAATTTGAGTGATGGCAGTAGTTGTTTTAAAAAGCATTCCAAGTTGATGAAACAACTTGAACAGTAACATGAAAATGGAGTTCATGGAACATTGGGAAGATTGCAAGTAACCTGGTCATTTGAAAATGTATAGTATATAGGAAGATATAGTGAGCTACAAGGCTACTGCTGTAGGTTGGCAATAGGGGCTTTGGATTATATATGCTAATAACATTCTCTAGTGTAAGAAGGTAACTTTGACAATAGAATGAAACCATTGAAAGAAGAGATAGGGCCAGGTGTGGTGGCTCACACCTGTAGACCAAATGCTTTGAGAGGCTTAGATGGGAGGATCACATGAGGCTAGGAGTTCATGATCAGCCCGGTCAACAAAGTGAGACTCTGCCTCTACAAAAAAAATATAAAAAATTAGCATGGTGGCACATGTGTGGAGTCCCAGCTACCTGGGAGGCTGAGGCAGGAGAATCACTTGAGCCCAATAGTTAGAGGCTGCAGTGAGCTATGATTGTGCCGCTGCACTCCAGCCTGGGCAGCAGAGCAAGAATCCATCTAGTTAAAAAAAAAAAAAAAAAGGAGATAATAGAGCCAAGGAGATCAATTCAGACATTATTACCATAGATCTAGTTAGAAAATGCTGGCTTCTAAGTAAAAGACTTCTCTTTAGAGTAGGTAGAAGTCTAGGCTTTTTGATTATTGTATCGAGGTCAAAGTCTAATCTGTCTTTTTTGAAATTAGAAAATTAAAATTTATTAAGTGCCTGATATGTGCCAAGTACCCTTTCAAAGCACTTTTAAAGATTCTCTTGCTTAATTCTATCAACTCTACTAGAAGGTTGAGATTATTATCCTGATTTTCAAATGAAGAAACTAAGTTTAGAGAGGTAAGTGCCCTAAGCAAATCTCCTAACATTTCCCCCTTTATGAAGGATTGTGCTCATTTCTCACCTTCAGGGCCTTCATTTTGCGTAAGATCCTGCTGTCAGCCATAATCTTGGCTGTGACTTGGATATTTTGTAAAAAACTTTAAAAATGATGATTTAGCCCACATTCTTAGTGTGCAGCCTCTCAGTTCTCTTTGAGTCCAAGCCTGACTGATACTCTTTCTTGCTCTTAAGTACTGAGAACGCTTGACAGATAACCTTTATGTAAAAATGGTTATCACAATGTAACATGAACACTGAGACTTGAATCTAGAATGAATCAAGAAGAAATGCCAGCAATTCTTTCTAAGCATTGGAGAGAAAATAACTGGATAATATTATAAGATCTGTGGTATCAGAAGTTGAGTTTAACACAGAGGCACATTTCTGTGTGGTTTCTCAGATAGCACAGTTTAAAGATCAGCCTCCCCATGGGTTACCTTGCAGGCCTGTGACACAAATTAGTAAAATTCTGTCTCATGGCCCCTGGGTTACTGTGTTTCACTCAGGCCCATCCCAATTAAGGTGAGAAGAGTTAGGAACCTTGTATACAAGGGAAGAGGACCTGAGACCTAAAGTAGGAGAGTGGAGAAAATTGTGGAACTTGAGCTAAATTAAGCCAGAGACCACCAGAAGAGCGTAGTAGAATGTTATATTATGTGATTAAGATTTTTGGCTAGGAATTAAATATAAAGAAGACCATAGCAGTTGTCATCTGGGAGATGGTTGGGATTAAGTGCCTATTGAAATTTTTGACTCCAAGAAATCTGCACCTCATCCAGAAAGATAAAGAACTCTCTGGACAAGTACAGAATCCTTTCAGGAATGTATTTGCAGTCCACAGAAGCAAAACAGTAAGCCCTCAGATCTCTAGAGTACTGTAGTAGAGTGCCCACTTCCCTAGTTTCATGCAGAGCCCGTGTTTCTGAAGGCACTGCTGGATGTTTTGATACTCTCACTCTGCTCAGACTGCATATTTTAAAAATTAGTTTATTGACCCATTTATTTTAAAGAAAGCAGCCGAGAAAGTCATAGCATATTGGTCATAATATGCTAAAGGAGGGTTATAAACCTTTGCAGAACTCAAAAAGCAACTATGAGTCCTTGTCCTAGTCTTTTTTTATGCTGTTATAGCATAATACCACAGACTGTGTTATTTATTTATTCATTTATTTATTTATTTATTTTTGAGATGGAGTCTTGCTCTGCTGCCCAGGCTGGAGTGCAGTGGTATGATCTCGGCTCACCGCAGCCTCCGCCACCCAGGTCCAAGCGATTCTCCTGCCTCAGCCTCCACAGTAGCTGGGACTACAGGTGTGTGCCACCACGCCTGGCTAATTTTTGTATTTTTAGTAGAGACGGGGTTTCACCATATTGGCCAGGCTTGTCTTAAACTCCTGACCTTGTGATCTGCCCGCCTTGGCCTCCCAAAGTGTTGGGATTACAGGCATAAGCCCCCATGCCTGGCCTGTGTAATTTGTAAGAACAGAAATTTACTTGGCTTATGATTCTGGAGGCTGGGAAGTCCAAGGCTGAGGGACTGTCTCTGGTGAAGGTTGTCTTGCTATGTTATAACATGGCAAAGGCATCACACTGGTTTGTGAGAGAGAGGGAGAAAAGCAAGCCAAACACCCCCTTTTATAAGGACCCTCTCCTGTGATAATGGCATTAATCCATTTATGAAGGCAGAGCCTATCTCTCACCTTATATAAAAATCAACTCAAAATGGACAAAGACTTTAAGGTGTGAAATGATAAAAATTATGGAAGACAACCTAGGAAAAACTCTTCTGGACATTGCTGTAGGCAAAGAATTCATGACTAAGACCCCAAAAGCAAATGCAACTAAAAGAGAAATAAATAAATGGGACTTAAATAAATAAATAAGTGGGACCTAATTAAACTAGAAAACTTGTACCTACCACACTGTCAGAGCACAGTGCAATAAATATTGAAAACAATACCATGAAGATCTCTCAAAACCATATAATTACATGGAAATTAAACAACTTGCTCCCGAATGCGTTGGGTAAGGAATGAAATTAAGGTAGAAATTTAAAAAAATTCCTTCAAACTAATGAAAACAAACATATATGAGAACCTCTGAGCACAGCTAAAGCAGTGATGAAAGTTTATACACTAAATGCCTACACCAAGGAGTTAGAAAGATCTGAAATTAACAACCTTACACCTAGAGGAACTAGAAAAACAAGAGCAACCCCAAAGCTAACAGAAAAAAGAAACAACCACAACCAGAGCTCAACTGAGTGAAATTCAGATGTGAAAATCCATAGATCAACAAAACCAAAATTGGTTTTGTGAAAGAGTAAATAAAATGAATAGAGTGCTAGTTAGGTTAATGAAGAAAAATAGAGTGAAGATCCAGATAAACACAATCAGAAATGACAGAGGTGACATCACTGACGACCTCATTGAAATACAAAAATCCATCTGAGACTATTATGAATATCTCTGTGCACACAAAACAGAAAATCTAGAAGAAAGGGATGAATCCTGGGAATATACACACCATACTGGATCACGAAGATACAGAAATCCTGAACAGACCAGTAATGAGTTCCAAAATTTAATCAGTAATAAAAAATTTACCAATCCGTCGGGCGTGGTGGCTCAGGCCTGTAATCCCAGCACTTTAGAAGGTTGAGGTGGGCGGATCACGAGGTCAGGAGATCGAGACCATCCTGGCTAACACGGTAGAATATAGTGTCATTGGCTGTGTACTTAAGCGTGTTTTTGTGGTGGCAGGTGACATTTGTTTGCTTCCATGTTTAACACTTCCCTAAAGACATCTTGTAAGGCAGGTCTGGTGGTAATGAATTTCCTTAACATTTTCATGTCTGAAAAGGATTTTACTTCTCCTTCACTATGGAGCTTACTTTGGATGAATATGAAATTATTCATATTCATCTACACGGTAGTAGAGACAGGACTGGAAGCCCTAGACAGAGAAATCACACAAGTGGAAGAAAATAAGGCATTAATATAGAAAGATAGAAAGTCAGACTCTCTCTCTGCAGACAATATGATTCTATACCTAGAAAACCCCATAGTCTTTGCCCAAATGCTCCTAGAACTGGTAAATGACTTCAGTCAAGTTTCAGGGTACGAAATTGATATACAAAAATCAGTAGTATTTCTATACACAATAACGTCCAAGTTGAGCTCCAAATCAAGAAGGCAATCCCACGCACAATAGCAACAAAAGGAATTAAATACCTGGGAATGCAGCTAACCAGGGAGTAGAAAGATCTCTACAACTAGATTACAAAACACTGCTGAAATAAATCAGAGACAACACAAAGAAGTGGAAAAACATTCCATGCTCACGGATAGGAAGAATCAATATTGTCAAAATGCCCATATTGCATAAAGCAATTTGTAGATTCAACGCTATTGCTAACAAACTACCGACATCATTTTTCACAGAATTAGACAAAAATATTGTAAAATTCATATGGATCCAAAAAGGAGCCTAAAGCCAAAACAATCATAAGCAAAAAGAACAAAGCCAGAGGCATCACACTATCTAACTTGAAACTGTACTACAAGGCTGCAGTAACCAAAACAGCATGGTGCTGGTACAAAAACAGACACATAGACCAATGAAACAGGTTTGAGAACACAGAAATAAAGCATGACACTTATAACAATCTGATCTTTGACAAAGCTGACAGTAACATGCAATGGGAAAAGGACTCCCTGTTCAATAAAGGGCACTGAGATGACTGGCTATAGCCATATGCAGATTAAAACTGAATCCCTTCCTTTCACCATACAAATATCAATGTAAAATGAATTAGAGATTTAAATGTAAGACCTAAACCTATAAAAACTCTAGAGGAAAACCTAGGAAGTACCATTCTGAACATAGGCCTTGGCAAAGATTTCATGCCTAAGTTTCCAAAAGCAATTACAACAACAACAGCAGCAATGAAAAAACAGACAAGTACAATGTAAGTAAACTAAATTGCTTCTGCATAATAAAAGAAACTATCAACAGAGTACATAGACAACCTACAGAAAGGAGAAAATAATTGCAAACTATGCATCTGACGAGGATATAATATCCACAATCTATAAGGAACTTAAATCAACAAGCAAAAACCAACAACCCCATTAAAAACTGGGCAAACAAGGTGAACAAAGGCTTCTCAAAAGAAGACATATATGTGGCCCACAAGCATACGAAAAAATGCTTAACATCACTAATCATCAAAGAAATGCAAATCAAACCCACAATGAGCTACCATCTCATACCAGTCAGAATGGCAATTATTAAAAGTCAGAAAATAACAGATGTTGGTGAGGTTGCAGAGAAAATTGAACACTTAAACACTGCTAGTGGGAATATAACTTAGTTCAGCCACTGTGTAAATTAGTTTGGAGATTTCTCCAGCAACTTAAAATAGAACTACCATTCAAACCAGCAATCTCATCACTGGGTATATACTCATAGGAATATAAATTGTTCTTCCAAAAAGACACATGCACTCATATGTTCATCACAGCACTATTCACAATAGCAAAGAAATGGAATTAGCCTAGATGCCCATCAGTGGTGGGCTGGGTAAAGAAAATGTGATACATAAACACCATGGACTACTATGCAGCCATAACATACTATGCCTTTTTTTTTTTAAAGGCATAAACATATCCTTTGCAGCAACATAGACGAAGGTCTTAAGCAAATCAATGCAGGAACAGGAAACCAAATACCGCACGTTCTCATTTATAAGTGGGAGCTAAACATTGAGTACACGTGGAAACAAAGGAAAAATAGACAACAGAGTCTATTTGAGGGTGGAGGGTAGGAGGAGGGTGGAGGGTCGGAGGAGGGTGGGGGTGGAAAAAATACCTATCAAATACTATTCTCACTAATTGGGTGACAAAAACATTTGTATACCAAACCCCAGTGACACACAACTTACTCATGTAACAAACCTGCACATGTACTGCCTGAACCGAAAATAAAAGTTGAAAAGGAAATATAAAATAAAATTTTAACCCACATGACATATTTTTTCTCTAAATTGAAAACTCTGTACAAAACTAATGTTGCTACTGTCTTCCATCGTGCATCGGATGAAACACACACATGCACAGACATATCTGTGTGTATATATATGTATATATGTGTGTACATATGATGTGTATATATATAATTTTGCATAATGTTGATTTGGAAAAGTAAAGGTTACTCAAGAGAAGATATATTGTCTATTAAAAATAAGTCCACATAAGAAAAAGACTAAGCCATAACATGTAGTGATGAATGATCAAAGGAATGTTAAAATTTTACTTTATTTTTTTAAAAATGAAAAAACATATTAATCGGTTCCCCTTAATCACTCTTAAATTTTAGCATAATCAGCAATGGAAGATCCTTAGAGCTTTTGAGAAGTAATACATAACAAATATAAAAAACAAAATACAAAAATGAAGAAGAGAATGAAATAATGCAGTGACTACATGAAGTAAAACCATTAGTCTAACGCTGTGTTTTTCTAAAGGCATATATACGGGTAATTGCCACATGAAAAGGTGCTGAATATCATTAGTCAGTGGAAAATGCAAATAAAAACAACATAAGATACCACTTTACACTCACTAGTGTAGCTATGATAAAAAAGAAAAAAAAATTAAGAGAACAGCAAGTTTGCTGAGAAGGTGGAGAACCGGAACCTTCGTATATTGCTGGTAACAATGTAAAATGATAGAAGTACTTTGAAATCCACTTTGGCAGCTTCTTAAGAAGTTAAACGGCTGGGCGCGGTGGCTCAGGCCTGTAATCCCAGCACTCTGGGAGGCCGAGACGGGCGGATCACGAGGTCAGGAGATCGAGACCATCCTGGCTAACACGGTGAAACCCCGTTTCTACTAAAAAAAAAAAAAAAAAAATACAAAAAATTAGCCAGGCGTGGTGGCAGGCACCTGTAGTCCCTGCTACTCGGGAGGCTGAGGCAGGAGTATGGCGTGAACCCGGGAGACGGAGCTTGCAGTGAGCCGAGATCGCGCCACTTCACTCCAGCCTGGGCGACAGAGTGAGACTCCATCTCAACAAAAAAAAAAAAAAAAAAAGTTAAACATAAGTTTACCATATAACCCAGCTATTTCACACTTAGAAATCTGAGAGAAACAAGAACATATGTCCACCAAAAACTTGTTCTGAAATGTTCGTTGCAGTGTTATTCATGATAGCAAAACCTGGAAACAAATGTCCATCACTGTTATATGAATAAATAAAATGTGGTATTATCTGCACAATGGAATTCTAGTCAGCAATTAACAAGCAGAGAAATCTGATACATGCTACAGCCTGGATGAATCATAAAACACTAGGCTAAATGAAAGATGCTAGTCACAAAAGACTGCCTATGGTCTGATGCCATTTATGTAATATGTCCAGAAAGATTGACATTTGTAGGCAGAAAACGGATTAATTGTTTTGTTGGGGCTGGAGGAGACAGTAGGATTCGCTACAAGAGCACTGGAAAAAATTGGGAAGGTAAAGGTAATGTTCTAAAAGTGTATTATGGTACTGGTTGAGACACTCTATATAAATTGAGTCATATATTTACAATGGGTCCATTTCATTATATAAAAATCTGATATGAAAGTAAGGACAGGAAAGTGCTGAATCAAAGGGTTGGGTGTCCTGTGATCCTGTGACGATCACTGCATGTTGAGGTGCAACAATCTGAGTCAACAGCAGATGGTTACTTAGAGCAGGTGGTGACTCCGATGTCACATGCTTGAGGAAGGGGTTCCTGGGCTTTCAGTCTCTGGCCCTGCTAGCTCCCGCAGAATCCAGATAGTAGATGTGGTAAATGAAGGCAGCCTCTGCCTCTCAGGTAGTGCAAGGAGACCAGTTGCACCATATAAAGGTCTGGGGAGAGTCAGTTTGTTGGAAGAAGCTCTGCGGACATTTTGGGTGACAAAAGGAAAAAATCATGGGGAAGAAGTGAGGGCTGCAGAATGAGGGGGTTGCTCGAAACAGAAGCTGCTCAAAAATCTTTGGTGGGATTTGAGGAGATTTGTTTCTTGTGTGGTCTGACCCAGCAACCTTTTGGTTAACAGAAGGCAGCAGAGAGAAAAACTGCTATGAACTTTTGCTATATACTAATAGTACAAAATGAGAACATACTCTCTACCCACAACACTATTTCATTGATTTCCATCTTTATCTTTGTAATTTATTTTCTTCTTACTTTGAGATTAATTTATTCTTCCAGGTTCTTGTGGTAGAAGCAGAAATCACTGATTTGAAATAATTTTTAAATTTTTATGGGCTTTTATAAATATAGGCTTTATAAATATAGGCTTTTAATGCTATAAATCCCCCTTCTCCATTTTCATGTTTTCACCTTCCTTCAGTTCAAAGCAATTTCTAATTTCCCCTTTTTAAAATTATTTTATTTCAATAACTTTTGGAGAACAGGAGGTGTTTGGTTACAGGGAGAAGTTTTTTAGTGGTGATTTCCAGGATTGTGGTGCACCCATTGCCCAAGCATTGTACATTGTACCCAATGTGTAGTCTTTTATCCCTCCCCCTTCCTCTCCCTTTTCCTGGAGTCCCCAAAGTTCATTATATTATTCACATGCCTTTGTATCCTCGTAGCTTAGCTCCAACTTATGAGTGAGAACTTACAATGTTTGGTTTTCCATTACTGAGTTACTTCACTTAGAATAATAGTCTCCAACTCCATCCAGGTTGCTGTGAATACCATTATTTTGTTCATTTTTATGGCTGAGTAGTATCCCATGGTATACATAAACCACATTTTCTTTATACACTTGTTGATTGATGGGCACTTGAGCTGGTTCCCTATTTTTGCAATTGAAAACTGTGCTACTATAAACATGAGTGTGAAAGTGTCTTTTTCATATAATGACTTCTTTTCCTCTGGCTAAACACCCAGTAGGAGGGTTGCTGGATCAAATGGTAGATCTACTTTTCGTTCTTTAAGGAATCTCCGCGCTGTTTTCCACAGTGGTTGTACTCGTTTACATTCCCACCAACAGTGTAAAAAGTGCTCACTTTTCACCAAATTCAAGCCAACATCTATAATTTTTTGATTTTTAAAATTACGGCCATTCTTACAGGAGTAAGGTTGTATCACATTATGGTTTTGGTTTGCATTTCCCTGATAATTAGTGATGTTGAGAGCATTTTTTCATATGTTTCCTGGTCATGTGTTTATTTTCTTTTGAGAATTGCCTATTCATGTCCTTGGCCCACTTTTCTAAAATTTTACTTTAAGTTCTGGCATACATGTGCTGAACAAGCAGGTTTGTTACATGGGTATACATGTGCCCAGGTGGTTTGCTGCACTTATCAACCCATAATCTAGATTTTAAGCCCTGCATGCATTAGGTATTTGTCCTAATGCTCTCCTTCCACTTTCCCCCAACCCCCTGACAAGCCCCGGTGTGTGATGTTCTCCTCCCTGTGTCCATGTGTTCTCATTGTTCAACTCCTACTTATAAGTGAGAACATGCAGTGTTAGGTTTTCTGTTCCTGCATTAGTTTGCTGAGAATGATGGTTTCCAGCTTCATCCATGTCCCTGCAAAGGAAATGCACTCATTCTTTTTTATGACTGCATAGTATTCCATGGTGAATATGTGCCACATTTTCTTTATCTAATTTATCATTGATGGACGTTTGGGTGGGTTCCAAGTCTTTGCTATTGTAAATAGTGCTGCAATAAACATACGTGCCGATGTGTCTTTATAGTAGAATGATTTATAATCCTTTGGGTATATACCCAGTAATGGGATTGCTGGGTCAAATGGTATTTCTGGTTCCAGATCTTTGAGGAATCACCACACTGTCTTCCACAATGGTTGACCTAATTTATACTCCCACCAACAGTGTAAAAGCGTTCCTATTTCTCCATATCCTTGCCAGCATCTGTTGTTTCCTGACTTTTTAATAATCACCATTCTAACTGGCATGAGATTGTATCTCATTGTAGCTTCGATTTGCATTGCTTTTTCTTTTCTTTTCTTTTCTTTTTTTTTTTTTTTTTTTTTTTGAGACAGAGTCTTGCTCTGTCACCCAGGCTGGAGTGCAGTGGTGTGATCTCGGCTCACTGCAAGCTCCGCCTCCCGGGTTCACGCTATTCTCCTACCTCAGCCTCCCTAGTAGCTGGGACTACAGGCGCCCGCCACCATGCCCAGCCAATTTTTTGTATTTTGTTTAGTAGAGACGGGGTTTCACCTTGTTAGCCAACATGGTCTCGATCTCCTGACCTCGTGATCCACCTGCCTCAGCCTCCCAAAGTGCTGGGATTACAGGCGTGAGCCACCTTGTCCGGCCTGATTTGCATTTCTTTAATGACCAGTAATGATGAGCTTTTTTTCATGTTTGTTGGCCATATAAACGTCTTCTTTTGACGAGTGTCTGTTCATACCCTTCGGCCACTTTTGATGAGGTTGTTTGTTTTTTTCTTGTAAATTTGTTTAACTTCCTTGTAGATTCTGGATATTAGACCTTTGTCAGATGGATAGACTGCAAAAATTTTCTCACATTCTGTAGGTTGCCTATTCACTCTGATGATAGTTTTTTGTTTTTTGTTGTTTTTTTTTTTTTTTTTTTTTCAGAACAGAAGCTTTTTAGTTTCATTAGATCCCATTGGTCAATTTTGGCTTTTGTTGCCATTGCTTTTGGTGTGTTAGTCGTTAGGTCTTTGCCCATGCCAGTGTCCTAAATGCCAGCGTAGGTTTTCTTTTAGGGTTTTTATGGTTTTAGGTTTCAGATTTAAGTATTTAATCAATCTTGAGTTAATTTTTGTATAAGATGTAAGGAAAGGGTCCAGTTTCTGTTTTCTGCATATGGCTAGCCAGTTTTCCTAGCACCATTTATTAAACAGGGAATCCTTTACTCATTGCTTGTTTTGTCAGGTTTGTCGAAGATCAGATGGTTGTATATGTGTGGTGTTATTTCTGAGGCCTCTGTTCTGTTCCAGTGGTCTATATATCTGTTTTGGTACTAGTACCATGCTGTTTTGCTTACTGTAGCCTTGTGTGAAGTCACGTAGAATGATGCCTCCAGCTTTGTTCTTTTTGCTTAGGATTGTCTTGGCTGTACAGGCTCTTTTTTTGGTTCCAAATAAAATTTAAAGTCATTTTTTCTAGTTATGTGAAGAAAGTCAGTGGTAGCTTGGTGGGAATAGAAATGAATCTATAAATTACTTCGAGTAGTGTGGCCATTTTCATAACATTGATTCTTCCTATCCATGAGCATGGAATGTTTTTCCATTCGTTTGTGTCCTCTCTTATTTCCTTGAGCAGTGGTTTGTAGTTCTCCTTGAAGAGGTCCTTCAAGTCCCTTATAAGTTGTATTCCTAGATATTTTGTTTTCTTGGTAGCAATTGTGAATGAGAGTTCATGCATGATTTGGCTCTCTGCTTGTCTATTATTGGTGTGCAGGAATGCTTGTGATTTTTGCACATTGATTTTTTATCCTGAGACTTTGTTGAAGTTGCTTATCAGCTTAAGGAGTTTTGGGGCTGAGACGATGCGGTTTTCTAAATATACAATCATGTCATCTGCAAACAGACAATTTGACTGCCTGTCTTCCTATTTGAATACGCTTTATTTCTTTCTCTTTCCTGATTGGCCTGGCCAGAACTTCCCATACTATGTTGAATAGGAGAGGTGAGAGAAGGTACCCTTGTCTTGCGCTGGTTTTCAAATGAAATGCTTCCAGCTTTTGCCCACTCAGTATGATATTGGCTATGGGTTTGTCATAAATAGCTCTTATTATTTTGAGATAGGTTCCATCAATACCTAGTTTACTGAGAGTTTTTATTTTTATTTTTTATTTTATTATTATTATACTTTAAGTTTTAGGGTACATGTGCACAATGTGCAGGTTGGTTACATATGTATACGTGTGCCATGCTGGTGTGCTGCACCCATTAACTCGTCATTTAGCATTAGGTATATCTCCTAAAGCTATCCCTCCCCCCTCCCCCCACCCCACAACAGTCCCCAGAGTGTGATGTTCCCCTTCCTGTGTCCATGCGTTCTCATTGTTCAATTCCCACCTATGAGTGAGAATATGCGGTGTTTGGTTTTTTGTTCTTGTGCTATTTTACTGAGAATGATTTCCAATTTCATCCGTGTCCCTACAAAGGACATGAACTCATCATTTTTTATGGCTGCATAGTATTCCATGGTGTATATGTGCCACATTTTCTTAATCCAGTCTATCATTGTTGGACATTTGGGTTGGTTCCAAGTCTTTGCTATTGTGAATAGTGCCGCAATACTGAGAGTTTTTAGCATGAAGTTGTTGAATTTTATTGAAGGCCTTTTCTGCATCTATTGAGATAATAATGTAGCAATGTAGCTTTTGTCATTGGTTCTGTTTATGTGAAGGATTACATTTATTGATTTGCCTATGTTGAACCAGCCTTGCATCCTAGGATGAAGCTGATTTGATCGTGGTGGATAAGCTTATTTATGTGCTGCTGGATTCCGTTTGCCAGTATTTTATTGAAGATTTTTGCATGGATATTCATCAGGAATACTGGCCTGAAATTTTCTTTTTTGTTGTGTCTCTGCCAGGTTTTGCTATCAGGATGATGCTGGCCTCATAAAATGAGTTAGGGAGGAGTCCCTCTTTTTCTACTGTATGGAATAGTTTCAGAAGGAATAGTACCAGCTCCTCTTTGTACCTCTGGTAGTATTTGGCATGAGTCTGTCTGGTCCTGGACTTTTTTTGGTTGGTAGGCTATTACTGCCTCTATTTGAGAACTTGTTATTGGTCTATTCAGGGATTTGACTTCTTCCTGGTTTAGTCTTGAGGGGGCGTGTGTATGTATGTGTCCAGGAATTTATTCATTTCTTCTAGACTTTCTGGTTTATTTGCATAGAGGTGTTTATAGTATTCTCTGATGATAGTTTGTATTTCTGTGGGATCAGTGGTGATATCCCCTTTATCATTTTTTGTTGTGTCTATTTGAATCTTCTCTCTTTTCTTTATTAGTCTGGCTAGCAGCCTATTTTGTTAATCTTCTCAAAAAACCAGCTCCTGGATTCACTGAATTTTTGAAGGGCTTTTCGTGTCTCTATCTTCTTCAGTTCTGCTCTGGTCTTAATTATTTCTTGTCTTCTGCTAGCTTTTGAATTTGTTCGCTCTTTCTTCTCTAGTTCTTTTAATTGTGATGTTAGGGCGTCGACTTTAGATCTTTTCTGCTTTCTTGTGTGGGCATTTAGTGCTATAAATTTCCCTTTAAACACTGCTTTAGCTGTGTTTCAGAGATTCTGGTACATTGTCTCTTTGTTCTCATTGGTTTCAAAGAACATTATTTTTGCCTTAATTTTGTTATTTACCCCGTAGTTGTTGAGGAGCAGGTTGTTCAGTTTCCATGTAGTTTTGCTGTTTTGAGTGGGCTTCTTAATCTTGAGTTCTAATTTGACTGCACTGTGGTCTGAGAGACTGTTTGTTATGATTACCATTCTTTTGCATTTGCTGAGGAGTGTTTTACTTCCAATTATGTGGTCAATTTTAGAATAAGTGCTATGTGCTGCTGAGAAGAATGTATATTCTGTTGATTTGTGTTGGAGAGTTCTGTAGATGTCTATTGGGTCCACTTAGTCCAGAGCTGAGTTCAAGTCCTGAATATCCTTGTTCATTTTCTGTCTCGTTGATCTGTCTAATATTGACAGTGGGGTGTTAAATTCTCTCACTATTATTGTGTGGGAGTCTAAGTCTCTTTGTAGGTCTCTAAGAACTTGTTTTATGAATCTGGGTGCTCCTGTATTGGATGCATATTTATTTACGATAGTTAGCTCTTCTTGTTCCATTGATCCCTTTACCATTATGTAATGCCCTTCTTTGTCCTTTTTGATCTTTGTTGGTTTAAAGTCTGTTTTATCAGAGACTAGAATTGCAACCCCTGCTTTCTTTTGCTTTCCATTTGCTTTGTAAATATTCTTCCATCTTTTTTTTTTTTTTTGAACCTATGGGTGTCTTTGCATATGAGATGGGTCTCCTGAATACAGCACACCAACAGGTCTTGACTCTATCTGATTTGCCAATCTGCATCTTTTAATTGGGGTGTTTAGCCTATTTACATTTTAGGTTAATATTGTTATGTATGAATTTGATTCTGTCATCATGATGCTAGCTGGTTATTTTGCACATTAGTTGATGCAGTTTCTTCATAGTGTCATTGATCTTTATATTTTGGTGTGTTTTCAAAGTGGCTGGTAATGGTTTCTCCTTTCCATATTTAGTGCTTCCTTCAGGAGCTCTTGTAAAGCAGGCCTGATGTTGACAAAATCCCTCAGCATTTGCTTGTTGGGAAAGGATTTTATTTCTCCTTCACTTATGAAGCTTAGCTTGGCTGGATATGAAATTCTGGGTTGAAAATTCTTTTCTCTAAGAATGTTGAATATTGGCCCCCACTCTCTTCTGGCTTGTAGGGTTTCTGCAGAGGGATCCACTGTTAGTCTGGTGGTCTTCCCTTTGTGGGTAACCTGACCTTTCTCTCCAGCTGCACTTAACATTTTTTCCTTCATTTCAACCTTGGAGAATCTGATGATTATGTG
This sequence comes from Homo sapiens, assembly GCF_000001405.40. NCBI lineage: Eukaryota > Metazoa > Chordata > Mammalia > Primates > Hominidae > Homo > Homo sapiens. Next base: position 352,984 of record NW_017852928.1, on the reverse strand, counting down.
TCTTGGGGTTGCGCTTCTTGAGGAGTATCTTAGTGGTGTTATCTGTATTTCCTGAATTTGAATGTTGCTTAGCCCACTTTTTGATGGAATTATTTGTTTTTTCTTGCTGATTTGTTTGAGTTCCTTGTAGATTCTGGTTGCTAGTCCTTTGTCAGATGCATAGTTTGTGAAGATTTTCTCCCACTTTGTGAGTTGTCTGTTTACTGTGCTATTTATTTTGCTGTGCAGAAGGTTTTTAGTTCAATTAAATCCCATCTATTTATCTTTGGTTTTGTTGCATTTGCTTTTGGGTACTCGGTCATGAAGTCTTTGCCTAAGCCATTGTCTAGAAGCGTTTTTCTGATATTATCTTCTAGAACTTTTATGGTTTTAGGTCTTAGATTTAAGTCTTTTATCCATCTTGAGCTGATTTTTGTATAAGGTGAGAGATGAGGATCCAGTTTTATTCTTCTACATGTGGCTTGCCAATTTTCTCAGCACCATTTGTTGAATACGGTGTTTTTCCCCATTTTATGTTTTTGTTTGTTTTGTCAAAGGTCAAGTTGCTGTAAGTATTTGGCTTTATTTCTGGGTTCTCTATTCTGTTTCATTGGTCTATGTGCCTATATTTATACCAGTACCATGCTATTTTGGTGACTAAGAGCTTTTAGTGTAGTTTGAAGTCAGATAATATGATGCCTCCTGTTTTGTTTTTGTTTTGCTTCATCTTGCTTTGGCTAGGTGGGCTCTTTATGGCTCCATATGAATTTTAGGAATCTACAAGGAACTCAAATCAGCAAGAAAAAAAATCCCATCAAAAAGTGGGCTAAGGACATGAATAGACAATTCTCAAAATATGTATACAAATAGCTAACAAATGTGAAAATTGCTCAACATCACTAAATATCAGGGAAATGCAAATCAAAACCACAATGCAATACCACCTTACTCCTGCAAGCATGGCCATAATTAAAAAGTCAAAAAATAATGGATGTTGGCCTGGATGTGGTGAAAAGGGAATACTTATACACTGTTAGTGGGAATGTAAACTAGTTCAACCAGTATGGAAAACAGTATGGAGATTCCCTAATGAACTAAAAGTAGATCTATCATTTGATCCAGGAATCCCACTACTGAGTATCTGCCCAGAGGAAAAGAACTCATTATATGAAAAAGACACTTGCACATGCATGTCTATAGTGGCATAATTTGATTATTGCAAAGATATGGAACCAGCCCAAATGTCCCTCAGTCAATGAGTGGATAAAGAAAATGTGATACACACACACACACACACACACACCATGGAATGCTACTCAGCCATAAAAGGAATGAAATAAAGGCATTTGCAGCAACCTGGATGGGGTTGGAGACATTTTTTCTGAGTGAAGTAACTCGGGAATGGAAAACCAAACATAGTATGTTCCCTCTTATAAGTGGGAGCTACGCTATGAGGACAGAAAGGCAAAATAATGATATAATGGAATTTGGGGACTGGGAGGAAAGGATGAGAAGTGGTGAGGGATAAAAGATTGCACTTTGGGTACAGTGTACACTGCTCAGTTTATGGGTACACCACAAGCTTGGAAGTAATTATTAAAGAACTTGTCCATTTAACCAAACACCACCTGTTCCCCAAAAAGCCTATTGAAATAAAAAAATAAAAATTTTTTAAAAATTAAAAAATTCCACAATCCATTGCTATTATTGTTTATACAATCGATTTTCTTTTTATTTTCCTTTTTTTTTTTTTTTTGAGGAGTCTTGCTGTTTCCCAGGATGGAGTGCAGTGGTGCAATCTCAACTCACTGCAACCTCTGGCTCCTGGGTTCAAATTATTCTTGTACCTCATCCAAGTATCTGGGACTACAGGTGCACACCACCATGTCTGTGTAATTTTTGTATTTTAGTAGAGACAGGGTTTCACCATGTTGCCCAGGCTGGTCTCAAATTCCTGGCCTCAAGCAAGCCACCTGCTCCGGCCTCCCAAAGTGCTGGGATTATCAGCATGAGCCACTGCTCAGGGCCTCAATTTTCTTTTAAAGAGTTTTAACAAATAAGAAAATGAAATGTGTGTATTTGTTCACATGTTACCATTTCTAGTGCTTGACATTGTTTTGTGGACACCCAGATTCCCATCTCATACCTTTTTCCTTCTGTAGGAAGGATGTCCTTTAACATTTTTGGAGCACAGGTCTGCTGGTGATGAATTCTTTCACATTTTATATTTTTGAATGTATCTTTATTTCACCTTTGTTTTTTGAAAGCTAATTTTGCAGCGTATAGAATTCTATGTGGGCAATTTTAGTCTGTGGGTATTTAAAGATGTGACTCCTCTGTATTCTTGTGTGCATTGTTGCTGGTGACAGATCTGATGTCATCCTTAAAATATGTTTGTTCCAGCGTAGATAAGGCGTGTTTTTCCTCTGGTTTCTTTTAAGATGTTTTTAATCATCATTGAGCAATTTTTGATATGCCTTGATGTCATTTCTTCATATTTCTAGTGCTTGAAAGCTCTAGTGAGCTTTCTGGATATGTGGATTTATAGTTCTTATTACATTTGGTAAGATTACATTTTTGTTTTTTGGGGGGTTGTTTCCCCCCTTGGGACAGGATCTTGCTACATTGCCCAGGCTGTTCTCAAACTCCTGGGCTTAACTGATCCTCCTGCCTCAACCTTTTGAATAGCTGAGACCACAGGCACGTACCACCACACCTCGCTTGGTGAGTTTTGGATTATTATTTCTTCCAAGAGTTTTTCTGCCATCACTGTGTTTGTCTTTGATGGACTCTAATCACCCACATATGAGGTCAGCTGAATTGCTCCACAGCTCATTGATGCTTTTCCCTTTATTTTTTTTTCTCAGTATTTCTTTTTGGCTACTTTTCTTTGCTATGCCTTAACATTTACAATATTTTTTTCTTTATTTTCTAATTTTCTGTTAATCCCTTGCAGGACATTTCCTCTCACATATCACAGTTTTTATTTATTTCTTTTTAGTTTTTGTAGAGATGGGGTCTTACTATGTTTCCCAGGCTGGTCTTGAACTCCTGGGCTCAAGTGATCCTCCTGCATAGGCCTCCCAAAATGCTGGAATTATAGGCATGAGCCACAGCACCAAGCCCCAGTTTTTCTTTCTTAATGTTAGCTTGAATATTTTTATATCTTTTTTTTTTGTCTACTTAATTTGGGGGATGTACAGTATACAGTTATAAAAACTGATTTAATGTTCTTTTCTGGTAATTCTTACACCTGTGTCAGCTCTGAGTCAGTTTAACATGATTGATTTATCCCTTCATTATGGTCATTTCCCTGTTTTAGTGTGGCTCAAAAGTTTGATAGAAAACCAGACACTGTGAATTTTACTTTGTTGGTTGCTGCATATTTTTGTGTCCCTATAACTTTGAGTTTTGTTCAGGAAGGCAGTCAAGTTGCTGTCAAACAGTTTGATCATTTCAAGTCTTGCTTTTACAATTTGTTTCAAGAGGTCCACAGCAGTACTCAGTCTAGGGGCAATTAGTTCTTACTACTGAGACAAAACCTTCCTGAGTTCGCTACTCTATGCCTTGTGAATTATGAGGCCTTTTTTTCAGTCATCCTTTGGGAAATAGGCATGATTCTAGCTCTGTATGAGTTCCAGGCACTGTTCTCTCTAATCTTTTCAAATGGTTTTTCCTCTGAACCTGAGTGGCATCCTCATGTGGATCAGCACTATGCTGCATGCTGGGTCATGTTCTGCAGTTCTTTCTGATTTACTTTCCACAGCTCGCTCCACCCCGCTACTCTCTCTATGGACTCATTGCTATCTTGGCTTCCCTGGACTCTCAGCTCAGTGTCCTCAACTCAAAAGGCTCACTGAGCTCCTCTTCACTTTCCCCTCCCTGTGCCTAAGTTGGAAACCCTCTCAAGGCAGTAAGTTAGAGCAATTATAGGGCTCACCTGTTTGGGGCCTTTCTTCAGGGATTACTTTTTTGCCTGATGTCCTTTTTCGCCTGATGTCCGTAATTTTGAAAATATTCTTTTCATATATTTTGTCCGTTTTATTTTTTTCTTTGTTTTACCAGGCAGGAGAGTGAAATCCAATTCCTCTTACTAATAGAGGTAGCAGCAACCCTTTAGGGGAGTTTACTCTGCCTACCACAGCCACTCACCTTGGTGAACATATTTCTGCAAGCCCCTCAGTCAGTGCTTGCCCCTCACTTCTGAAAGTAAGCCAGTTGAAAGCAACTCTGTCCAATGAGCAGCTCTGAGTGCCAACCAATCAACACCAGCTCACTGATGTCTGTGCCCTTAACCAGTCTCTGAACTCCACACTTTCCACAAATTCTAAGTCCAGTCTCAGAGAGACTGAGTGATCAGCATAGCTCCCTCCCTTTAAGAAGCAATAAATTCAGACTTGTGTTTATTAATGCAGAAATTATGAGGTGGTCTCTTCATTTGACAAATGCCTTAATGTTACAAGTATAGAATTACATAGAAGGAAAACAGAAAGAAGAAAAGAATGCAAGGAAGGGGGAAAATATAAAGAAAGACCATGCAAGTGCCACTGCAGAGGGATCTGAATCAGAGAGAGGAGGAGAAACTCTGAGGGAGAAGAACCTGATGATCCAGTGCCTGTGAGGCTCCCACAGAGCTGGGAGCTGCTGATATCTAAATGTGGGGAGCAGGCTGAGGAGCAGCCAGAACTGAAGGTTTACAGCCTTCCAGAGTGTACATGTTGAAGGCCTAACCTCAGGGTGATTTACATAGTGACAAGGCCTTTAAGGAAGTGATTAAGATTAGTGAGATCATAAGCATGGGGCCCTGATCTGATAGGATTAGTGTCCTTCTAAGAGGAAACTCAGGGAGCTTGTTCACACCACTCCTCCTCCCACAAATCACACACAGTGAGAAGGCCATGTGGGGACACAGAGTCTGTGTGCATCTACAAGCTGGGAAGAGAGCTCTCACTGGTATCCAATCTTGATCTTGAACGTTTAGAATCCAGAATTCTGAAACAGTACATTTCTGCTTTTCAAACCACCCTTTTGATCGTATTTTGTGATGGCAGCCTGAGTTCACTAATACAGAAGGTTTCTTTTATATATATATATATTTTTTTTTATTATACTTTAAGTTCTAGGGTACATGTACACAACGTGCAGGTTTGTTATGTATGTATACATGTGCCATGTTGGTGTGCTGCACCCATTAACTCGTCATTTACAATGGGTATATCTCCTAATGCTATCCTTCTCCCCTTCCCCACCTGACAACAAGCCCCTGTGTGTGATGTTCCCCTTCCTGTGTCCAAGTGTTCTCATTGTCCAATTCCCACCTATGAGTGAGAACATGCAGTGTTTGGTTTTTTGTCCTTGGGATAGTTTGCTGAGAATGATGGTTTCCAGCTTCATCCATGTTCCTACAAAGAACATGAACATATCATTTTTTATGGCTGCACAGTATTCCATGGTGTATATGTGCCACATTTTCTTAATCCAGTCTATCACTGTTGGACATTTGGATGGGTTCCAAGTCTTTGTTGTTGTGAGTAGTGCCGCAATAAACATATGTGTGCATGTGTCTTTATAGCAGCATGATTTATAATCCTTTGGATATATACCCAGTAATGGGATGGCTGGGTCAAATGATATTTCTAGTTCTAGATCCCTGAGGAATCGCCACACTGACTTCCACAATGGTTGAACTAGTTTACAGTCCCACCAACAGTGTAAAAGTGTTCCTATTTCTCCACATCCTCTCTAGCACCTGTTGTTTCCTGACTTTTTAATGATCACCATTCTAACTGGTGTGAGATGATATCTCATTGTGGTTTTGATTTGCATTTCTCTGATGGCCAGTGATGATGAGCATTTTTTCATGTGTCTGTTAGCTGCATAAATGTCTTCTTTTGAGAAGTGTCTCTTCATATCCTTCGCCCACTTGTTGATGGGGTTGTTTGTTTTTTTTTTGTAAATTTGTTGGAGTTCATTGTAGATTCTGGATATTAGCCCTTTGTCAGATGAGTAGATTGCAAAAATTTTCTCCCATTCTGTAGGTTGCCTGTTCACTCTGATGGTAGTTTCTTTTCCTGTGCAGAAGCCCTTTAGTTCAATTAGATCCCATTTGTCAATTTTGGCTTTTGTTGCCATTGCTTTTGGTGTTTTAGATATGAAGTCCTTGCCCATGCCTATGTACTGAATGGTATTGCCTAGGTTTTCTTCTAGGGTTTTCATGGTTTTAGGTCTAACATGTAAGTCTTTAATCCATCTTGAATTAATTTTTGTATAAGGTATAAGGAAGGGATCCAGTTTCAGCTTTCTACATATGGCTAGCCAGTTTTCCCAGCACCATTTTTTAAATAGGGAATCCTTTCCCCATTTCTTACTTTTGTCAGGTTTGTCAAAGATCAGATAGATAGTTGTAGACGTGTGGTATTATTTCTGAGGGCTCTGTTCTGTTCCATTGGTCTATATCTCTGTTTTGGTACCAGTACCATGCTGGTTTGGTTACTGTAGCCTTGTAGTATAGTTTGAAGTCAGGTAGCGTGATGCCTCCAGCTTTGTTCTTTTGGCTTAGGATTGACTTGGCAATGCGGGCTCTTTTTTGGTTCCATATGAACTTTGAAGTAGTTTTTTTCCAATTCTGTGAAGAAAGTCACTGGTAGCTTGATGGGGATGGCATTGAATCTATAAATTACCTTGGGCAGTATGGCCATTTTCACAATATTGATTTGTCCTATCCATGAGCATGGAATGTTCTTCCATTTGTTTGTGTCCTCTTTTATTTCGTTGAGCAGTAGTTTGTAGTTCTCCTTGAAGAGGTCCTTCACATCCCTTGTAAGTTGGATTCCTAGGTATTTTACTCTCTTTGAAGCAATAGTGAATGGGAGTTCACTCATGATTTGGCTCTCTGTTTGTCTGTTATTGGTGTATAAGAATGCTTGTGATTTTTGCACATTGACTTTGTATCCTGAGACTTTGCTGAAGTTGCTTATCAGCTTGAGGAGATTTTGGGCTGAGACGATGGGGTTTTCTAGATATACAGTCATGTCATCTGCAAACAGGGACAATTTGACTTCCTCTTTTCCTAATTGAATACCCTTTATTTCTTTCTCCTTCCTGATTGCCCTGGCCAGAACTTTCAACACTATGTTGAATAGGAGTAGTGAGAGAGGGCATCCCTGTCTTGTGCCAGTTTTCAAAAGGAATGCTTCCAGTTTTTGCCCATTCAGTATGATATTGGCTTTGGGTTTGTCATAAATAGCTCTTATTATTTTGAGATACGTCCCATCAATACGTAATTTATTGAGAGTTTTTAGCATGAAGCGTTGTTGAATTTTGTCGAAGGCCTTTTCTGCATCTATTGAGATAATCATGTGGTTTTTGTCTTTGGTTCGGTTTATATGCTGGATTATGTTTATTGATTTGCGTATGTTGAACCAGCCTTGCATCCCAGGGATGAACCCCCCTTGATCATGCTGGATAAGCTTTTTGATGTGCTGCTGGATTCAGTTTGCCAGTATTTTATTGAGGATTTTTGCATCGGTGTTCATCAGGGATATTGGTCTAAAATTCTCTTTTTTTGTCGTGTCTCTGCCAGGCTTTGGTATCAGGATGATGCTGGCCTCATAAAATGAGTTAGGGAGGATTCCCTCTTTTTCTATTGATTGGAGTAGTTTCAGAAGGAATGGTACCATCTCCTCCTTGTACCTCTGGTAGAATTCGGCTGTGAATCCATCTGGTCCTGGACTTCTTTTGGTTGGTAAGCTATTAATTATTGCCTCAATTTCAGAGCCTGTCATTGATCTATTCAGAGATTCAACTTCTTCCTGGCTTAGTCTTGGGAGGGTGTATGTGTTCAGGAATTTATCCATTTCTTCTAGATTTTCTAGTTTATTTGCATATAGGTGTTTATAGTATTCTCTGATGGTAGTTTGTATTTCTTTGGGATTGGTGGTGATAGCCCCTTTATCATTTTTTATTGCGTCCATTTGATTCTTCTCTCTTTTCCTCTTTATTAGCCTTGCTAGCAGTCTATCAATTTTGTTGATCTTTTCAAAAAACCAACTCCTGGATTCATTGATTTTTTGAAGGGTTTTTCGTGTCTATCTCCTTCAGTTCTACTCTGATCTTAGTTATTTCTTGCCTTCTGCTAGCTTTTGAATGTGTTTGCTCTTGTCACTAGTTCTTTTAATTGTGATGTTAGGGTGTCAATTTTAGATCTTTCCTGCTTTCTCTTGTGGGCATTTAGTGCTATAAATTTCCCTCTACACACTGCTTTAAATGTGTCCCAGAGACTCTGGTATGTTGTGTCTTTGTTCTCGTTGGTTTCAAAGAACATCTTTATTTCTACCTTCATTTCGTTATGTACCCAGTAGTCATTCAGGAGCAGGTTGTTCAGTTTCCATGTAATTGACTGGTTTTAAGTGAGTTTCTTAATTCTGAGTTCTAGTTTGATTGCACTGTGGTCTGAGAGACAGTTTGTTATAATTTCTGTTCCTTTACATTTGCTGAGGAGTGCTTTACTTCCAACTATGTGGTCAATTTTGGAATAGCTGCATTGTGGTGCTGAGAAGAATGTATATTCTGTTGATTTGTGGTGGAGAGTTCTGTAGATGTCTATTAGGTCCTCTTGGTGCAGAGCTGAATTCAATTCCTGGATATCCTTTTTAACTTTCTGTCTCGTTGATCTGTCTAATGTTGACAATGGGGTGTTAAAGTCTCCCATTATTATTGTGCGGGAGTCCAAGTCTCTTTGTAGGTCTCTAAGGACTTGCTTTATGAATCTGGGTGCTCCTGTATTGTGTGCATATATATTTAGGATAGTTAGCTCTTCTTGTTGAATTGATCCCTTTACCATTATGTAATGGCCTTCTTTGTCTCTTTTGATCTCTGTTGGTTTAAAGTCTGTTTTATCAGAGACTAGGATTGCAACCCTGCCTTTTTTTGTTTTCCATTTGCTTGGTAGATCTTCCTCCATCCCTTAATTTTGAGCCTATGTGTGTCTCTGCACATGAGATGGGTTTCCTGAATACAGCACACTGATGGGTCTTGACTCTTTATCCAATTTGTCAGTCTGTGTCTTTTAATTGGAGCATTTAGCCCATTTACATTTAAGGTTAATATTGTTATGTATGAATTTGATCCTGTCATTATGATGTTAACTGGCTATTTTGCTCGTTTGTTGATGCAGTTTCTTCCTAGCATCAATGGTCTTTACAATTTGGCATGCTTTTGCAGTGGCTGGTACCAGTTGTTCCTTTCCATGTTTAGTGCTTCCTTCAGGAGCTCTTATAGGGCAGGCCTGGTGGTGACAAAATCTCTCAGCATTTGCTTGTCTGTAAAGGATTTTATTTCTCCTTCACTTATGAAGCTTAGTTTGGCTGGATATGAAATTCTGGGTTGAAAATTCTTTTCTTTAAGAATGTTGAATATTGGCCCCCACTCTCTTCTGGCTTGTAGAGTTTCTGCCGAGAGATCAGCTGTTAGTCTGATAGGCTTCCCTTTGTGGGTAACCCGACCTTTCTCTCTGGCTGCCCTTAACATTTTTTCCTTCATTTCAACTTTGGTGAATCTGACAATTATGTGTCTTGGAGTTGCTCTCCTCGAGGAGTATCTTTGTGGCGTTCTCTGTATTTCCTGAATTTGAATGTTGGCCTCCCTTGCTAGGTTGGGGAAGTTCTCCTGGATAATATCCTGTAGAGTGTTTTCCAACTTGGTTCCATTCTCCCCGTCACTTTCAGGTACACCAATCAGATGTAGATTTGGTCTTTTCACATAGTCCCATATTTCTTGGAGGCTTTGTTTGTTTCTTTTTATTCTTTTTTCTCTAAACTTATCTTCTCGCCTCATTTCATTCATTTGATCTTCAGTCACTGATAGCCTTTCTTCCAGTTGATCGAATTGGCTACTGAAGCTTGTGCATTCATCATGTAGTTCTCGTGCCATGGTTTTCAGCTCCATCAGGTCCTTTAAGGACTTCTCTGCATTGGTTATTCTAGTTAGCCACTCATCTAATCTTTTTTCAAGATTTTTAACTTCTTTGAGATGGGTTCAAACTTCCTCCTTTAGCTCGGAGAAGTTTGATCATCTGAAGCCTTCTTCTCTCAACTCGTCAAAGTCATTCTCCATCCAGCTTTGTTCTGTTGCTGGTGAGCGGCTGCTTTCCTTTGGAGGAGGAGAGGTGCTCTGATTTTTAGAATTTTCAGTTTTTCTGTCCTGTTTTTTCCCCTTCTTGGTGGTTTTATCTACCTTTGGTCTTTGATGATGGTGACGTACAGATGGGGTTTTGGTGCAGATGTCCTTTCTGTTTGTTAGTTTTCCTTCTAACAGTCAGGACCCTCAACTGCAGGTCTGTTGGAGTTGGCTGGAAGTTCACTCCAGACCCTGTTTGCCTGGGTATCAGCAAATGTTGATGTCTGATCGTTCCTCTGGAAGTTTCATCTCAGAGGGGTACCCGGCTCTGTGAGGTGTCAGTCTGCCCCTACTGGGGGGTGCCTCCCAGTTAGGCTACTCAGGGGTCAGGGACCCACTTGAGGAGGCAGTCTGTCCATTCTCAGATCTCAAACTCTGTGCTGGGAGAACCACTACTCTCTTCAAAGCTGTCAGACAGGGACATTTAAGTCCACAGAGGTTTCTGCTGCCTTTTGTTCAGCTATGCCCTGCCCCCAGAGGTGGAGTCTACAGAGGCAGGCAGGCCTTCTTGAGCTGCGGTGGGCTCCACCCAGTTCCAGCTTCCCGGCCCCTTTGTTTACCTACTCAAGCCTCAGCAATGGTGGGCGCCCCTCCCCCAGCCTCACTGCCACCTTGCAGTTCAATCTCAGACTGCTGTGCTAGCAATGAGTGAGGCTCCGTGGGCGTGGGACCCTCCGAGCCAGGTGCAGGATATAATCTCCTGGTGGGCCGTTTGCTAAGACCATTGGAAAAGCGCAGTATTAGTGTGGGAGTGACCTGATTTTCCAGGTGCCATCTGTCACAGCTTTGCTGGGCTATGAAAGGGAATTCCCTGACCCCTTGCGCTTCCCAGGTGAGGCCATGTCTCGCTCTGCTTCAGCTCACACTCAGTGCGCTGCACCCACTGTCCTGCACCCACTGTCCGACAAGCCCCAGTGAAATGAACCCGGTACCTCAGTTGGAAATGCAGAAATCACCCATCTTCTCCATCGCTTGCACTGGGAGCTGTAGCCAGGAGCTGTTCCTATTCGGCCATCTTGGAACTGCCTCAGAAGGTTTCTTAGACAGTGGCCTAGGCAGCTTTTACATGGGCCTTTGTGGGAGCAGCCCAGGTTTTGCTCAGTGCTCAGTTTCTGTAATTTGCATCCACACCTGCTCTACCCTTGTTTAGGCTGATCTTGGTCTTCAGAAAGAAACTTGGTCGTAAGTTTATGGTTTCATAGCTTAATTGTCCACAAGAAAGAATGATCTGGATCAAGGATCTTCTTTGATTTTCTTTGGAAAAAGTTTGATATCTGACCTTGGACAACTGCACTCAGATTCTGCGGGGTGACCCTGTGACCTCACGTGCCCTGCACTTCCTTTTCCTGAGAGCTTTCACTGCTCTGGACTCTCCAGAACCACAAGGCAAGGGTTTGGCTGCAGGTGAAGGATGTGAACCAGTCCTGGAAGACCCAGTGGAAAAGGAAAGAATCCCCAGGATGAGGAATGGGAGGAAGGGTGAGAGGCTCTTCTTAGAGAAAGAAAGGTGGCTGGAGGATCAGAGAACTCTGTGTGTGTGTGTGTGTGTGTGTGTGTGTGTGTGTGTGTGTGTGTGTGTGTCCAGGATGAGGTTAGTGGAGTTCCAGAGAGACAGGGTTGCCTTCTGGGGCTGAGAATATGGATTCCTTGGTATTCAGGCTCTGGTCCTCTTCCTCTCCTGGTCCTACTCATCCTGCCTCCCACTCCTCCCTTCCTCCTCATTCTGTCCTTCAGCCTTTTTGTCACCACTCCTCCTTCCTCTTTCTGCTCCCACTCCCCCATGTCCTGTCACCTCCTTTTCCTTTCACACACAGAGGATGCAGGTCAACACTGGAAAGGGTTGCTGCAGTCTGAGAAGCTGAAGGAATGTTTTACACCATCAGGAGAAGCTATACAGCTATGGAAATAAAGATCATGTGTATTGTTGAAAAAAATAGAACATATATCAATGGAAGAGAAGAGAGAATTCAGAAATAGATCCTTACATATATGTTTAATGATTCTTAGACATGAATATAGTTATATGTATATATATAATCACCTTTTTGATGATTATCTATCTTTACCTCCAAAATAGGGAACATTAGGAGAACTTAAAAAGAAGCCACAATATAGGAGATACTATATTTATATCCAACAAAGGATTTTTTAATAGTATGTATATAATGCAGTCTGGTAATATAAACAGCACAATGAAACGATTTGGCAAAAGACTTGAGTAGATACTTCAGAAAAGAAGTTACGTGAATGGTCAATTAGCACATGCAAAGATGCTCAACTCTTTAGTCATCTGGGAGATCAGTCAATACAATGATGAGATACCATTACATATCCATGAGAACAATAAAGTTAAAAAGGCTGAAAATAACACATGTTGGTAAGGATATAAAGCACTTGGAAGTCTTACCCTTGTGGGAATGAAAAATGGTCTGACCTCTTTGAAAATCTGGATAACAGTTTCTTCTAAGTTTAAACACATACAAATCAGATGGGCAGTCTTTCTGTTATGGGGGGTGGGGGGGGAAGGGAGTCGGGGGGTCCTTGCTCCCAGAGCTCCCAAGATGGTGGTGGGCCACTTCCAAGATGGTGGCAAGCCTTGTGTTCTCTGACCTGGTGTTCTTGGCCTCATGGATTCCAAGGAATGGAATCTTGGGCCATGCAGTGAGTGTTATAGCTCTATTAGAAGCCGTGGGTCATGGAAGAGAACCGTGGAACCCAGTGACTAGTGTTCAGCTCGATTAGTATGAACCCAGGCACTTAGCCATGCAGGAACAATGGCAAGCCTTTAGCCCATTAGGGAGCAGCAATGGGTGCCTCGCTGGATCAGGAGCAAAGCAGACTCCCTGCTGGATCCGGAGGGATGGAAGTCAGCGGTGGGTCTGCGATGGTGGCAAACATCAGTGGTGGACAGTGAGTGAAAGCTCAGCTTGAGCTGTAACAAACACGGACTAGAAGAGTGTGCAGTTGCAAGATTTAATAGAGTGAAAACAGAGCTCCCTACAAGGGAGGGGATCCAAAGAGGGTAGCTGTTGCTGGCTCGAATGCCTGGGTTTATATCCCGATCATTGTCCCTCCCACTGTGCTCTCAGGCAATAGATGATTGCTTATTTCTTTACCTCCTGTTTTTGCCTAATTAGCATTTTAGTGAGCTCTCTTTACTACCTGATTGGCCGGGTGTGAGCTAAGTTGCCAGCCCCTTGTTTAAAGGTAGATGCGGCCACCTTCACAACTAGGCTTAGGGATTCTTAGTCAGCCTAGGAAACAAGCATGGTGTAGCCACACAAAGGAATACTACTCAGTAATTACAGCATATTAACAGTTGATGAAAATACTTATACAGATGGATTAATATGATGCATGAAAGAAGGCAGACACAAAAGAACACAGGTCTAATTTCATTTACAGAAAATGGTTAAAAATGCAAACTGACCTAACGTGACACTTGCTCCCTGGGGTGGAGGGTTGAAAGAGTGATGAACTGCAAAGCCTTATAAGAAACTTTAGGCTTATGGAAATTCCCATGTCTTGATTATAGCAGTTGTTCCATTTGTGTATACATTTGTAAATATGCATTTAATTATACATTTTAAAGTGCTGCAGTCTATTGTACTTAATTTATACCTTTATAACATTGACTTAATAATCTTAATATCTCCATACTAGCAATTACCAGATAGAACATGAAATTCAATAAAACATAATAGAGATTAATATCGAAAATCATTGCATGCTTAAGAATGCATATAATGAAGCAGATACAAAGCCCCTGAAAGCTATTGGTGAGAGAAATTAAAGAAGAGTAAATAGAGAAATGTATATCATGTTCATGGATTGGAAGACTCAATTTTGTGAGGATATCACATCAACATAATTCTGATTAATAATTCTACTAGGAGTTTTAAAGAAATGTAAATGCTAATTTAAAAATGTATTTGAAAATCAAATAATCTAGAATAGGCAAGTTGGTCTTGAAAAAGTTGGAAGACTTACTCTGCTAGATTTCAAAACTCATTTTAGAGCTACAATAATTTAGAAGCTATGGTACGGGTGTAAGTATACATAAATAAAGTAAAAGAATACAGATTCAAAAAATACTCCCCCTATGTACAGTTATTTAAATTTTTTAAAAACAAAGACACCAATGCCCTTCATTGGGGAAATGAGAGACTTTTCAATAGAAAGTTTCTGAGTGAAATAATATTTGTTGTTTTAAAAAGTAAATAGTAACAGCCACTTTCTACCATACATTGAAATTAACTTAAGATGTGAAAGTTAGAATTAGAAACCTTCTAAAGGAAAAAATACAAACTATTTTCATGAACTTGACATAGGAAAATATTTCTTAGACCAGAAAATATTTCTTAGACTGTAGCACTGACCACAATAAGAAATCAGTTAAATTGTACTTCATTTTTAAAAAGCTTCTGCTTATTATAGGTTAGTGTTTAACAAGGCAAAACCTATCTGGAGACCAAGAATAATTATCTGCAACATATATGCATGTTGCAAATAAATACATTTATATATATTTATATATATATATATATATATATATATATATATATATATATATATATTAGTCTTGAGTGGGTCCAACCTCTATGGTCCCCTCTGTTTGGCATGGGGTGAGGAAGTCCACTCTGGCCTTAGAACAGCATGGACTGCCAGGCATTCTCAGAGAGGGTCTCAACTTCAACGCTTCACATGTACATATATGAAACAATGGACTCATTCAAAATATATAAATAACTCCAATAGATCACAAAGAAAATGATAAACAACCCAGTGTATCAATGAGTGGAAAAATTTGAAAAGGTGCTTTACATAAGAAGATATCCAAATGACCAATAAGCATGTGAAAACCAAAATATCCCTACACATCTGGTAGAATGGCTAAAATTTAAAAGACTGAAAATATTAAGTGTGTGGGAATGTAGAACGACTGGAAATAGCCTACGTTTTTCATAGAAATGTAAAATAATATAATCATTTTGCAAAACTCTGTGTCCGTTTTCAGCCTTTCACCAAGAAATTCCATCCCTAGCTATCGATACCAAGGAGAAATGAGTATGTATATTCACAGAAAGAAGTGTATAAGAATATTCAGTTACTTATGCATAAGAGCCAACAAGTAAACCTGTCTACCATCACAAAAATGGATATGAAATTGTGTGATAATTATGCAATAAATAGGATATTACTAGGCCAAAACAAAATGAGAGAAAAACACAAACAAATTGGTAGCATACTGATATATCCAACTGATTAAGAGAAGTCAAAACAAGAGAAGATACTGAATGATTTCATTGTTATGAAGCACAAAAATAAGCAAAATTAATCAGTTGTGGCTGCTATAGTTTAGATATTTGTCCCCTCCCAATCTCATGTTTAAATTTGATCCCCAATGTTGGAGGTGGGGCTTAATGGGAGGTGTTTGGGTTATGGGAGTGGATCCCCCGTGAATAGATTAATCCCCTCCCTGGGAGAAGGTAGTGAGTGAATTCTCATTCTATTAGTTCCTGCAAGAACTGCTTATTAAAAAGAGTCTTGAGCTTTTCCTCTCTCTTTTGCTTCCTCTTTCACCATATGATCTTTGCACACACTGGTTCCCTTTCATCTTCTGCAGGGTGGGGAAGCAGCCTCAGGCCCTCATTAAGAGCAGTTGTTGGTGCCATTCTTCTTCTGCAGCCTACAGAACTATGAGCGAAATACATCTCTTTTCTTTATAAATGACCCAGCCTCTTGTATTCCTTTATAGCAACGCAAAGGGACAAAAGGACTAAGATAGTGACAAAATTTAGAATATATTCTTCATTTGGGGGATGAGTATTGACTGGCAAGGAGCACGTCAGAACTTTTTGGCATAGAGGAAAATGTTCCCTCTCTTGATGTGGGTGTTATTATATAAGGTATAATTATATTAAAAGTCATAAGTCTGTACCCTTAGGTTTTTTGTAGTTTACTCCATGCAAATTATATCTTAGTGAATAGCTGGTAGCATAAAACAAAGTGACAGATGGCAAACACTCAAAAAATAAAAATTGACAGAAGATAGGTAACAAATATTCAGCAGATAAATAATAGGGATCACTTGAGAAAAAAAGAAAAACAAAAACAATGGAATAGAACAAACACAAAAAAGTTTTATTTAAAAAAAGAGTTTGACATTTAAAAGTTTGAAATAATATTAAAGTGACACCCTGTTTCCTTGGAAACACAATGCAGAACCACAAACTCTGAGACTTATTATAGCGAAAGTATTGTCATTCAGTTCAATCTAATGGTATGAGGTTAGCTTTGAAGGCCAAAAGAAACTAGTTTCTAATTCTTATTCTTCTCCCCACTAGACTTGTGGCCCAGGTAATTTTGTAATCTTTCTGAGTCTGTTTTCTCATCAGGAGCAGGATAATTCCTAAGTAATAGATCATATGTAGAAGTGAATATGATCTCATGGCAGTGGACATCAACCATAGTTAATTATTAAGAATATATTTACATTGAGCTATCCTTTATCTACTTTAAAATTGCAGACAAACAACAATTGACAAAGAATAGATAAAATGTTCTAACATAAACATTCTTCCATTCTTTCTAGGAAGAAGTCACACATACAGTAAAAATAATTAGAGAGGACCCAGTTCATATCGAACAACCTTCCCCAAACCCTGAAACAGGTCTGCTTTCTAACATCAGAGATGAAAGCAGTCTATTCCAGACAGAGGGGCTTGTAGGGGTTGGACCCCCTGCAGGCCTGTCTACCTGGAATAGACTAAGAAATTCTGCTCCAGCCTTAGAACAGCATGGGCTGCCAAGCGTTCCCACAGAGGCTCTCGACTTCAGCTCTAGATGTGCTGAGGAATACGTGCACGTGGGTCGGGTTAAGGCCAGCTGAATCACACGATCAGGGCTGTCATCAGCATCAAAGTCAGTGGAAGGATGCCAGTCCCCAGAGCTCTGTTCCAGGCCACGGGATGCTCCCTGGAGGGGTGGTGGGCATATCAGTACCAATCAGGGGAAATATCAGTAATAGACAAGAGGCATAAATAAACAATGTCTGTCCTCCACTAAAACCCAGGAAAGTTCTCATTCCAAAAGCGATGTCTTGAAGAAAACATAGGTATAAATCTTTGTGATTCTGGATTAGACACTGCTTAAGTAGGCACAAGCAACACCAAAATAGAAAGATAAATGGACTTCATTAAAATAAAAAATCTTTCATGCTTCCAAGGACTCTGTCAAGGAAGTGAAAAGATAATCCATGTAATGGGAGAACTATTTGCAAATCATATACCTAACAAAGGTCTAGTATCTACAGTATATAAAGAATTCATATAAGTGAGCAAAAAAGACAATTTAAAAATGGGAAAAAAGTTTGAATAGACATTTCTGTAAATGATACATACAAATGGCCAACAAGCACATACGGAGAGGTTCAATGTTTTTCCTCATTAGGAAAATGTAAACTTAAATCAAAATGAAATACCACTTCAGACCCACAAGGGTGACTTTAAAAAAAACACAACATATGTTTGGAAAGTTATGGAGAAAATGGAATTCTCATATATTACTAGTGGGAATGTAAAATGCTGTAGCCACTGAGATTGGAAAACAGTCTGTCGGTTCCTCAAAAACTTAAACATAAAGTCATATATGATGCAGCAATGGCACTCCTAGGTATATAACCAAGAAAATTAAAATCAAATATTCACTCAAAAACATGTACAAAAATGTTCATAGCAGCATTATTCATAATAGTGAAAAAGTGGAAACATCCCAAACCACCATCAGTTGATGAACAGTAAACAAAATGTGGTATAACTATAAAATGGAATATCATTTGGCCACAAAAAGGATTGAAGTACTGCTGCATGCTACAACAAGGATGAACTTTGAGAACATTGTGCTAAGTAAGAGATGCAGATGCAAAAGGCAATGTTGCATTATTCCATATACAGGAAATGCCCAGATCAAATATATCTATATATAGAGAAGGTAGATTAGTGTTTGTCAGGGACTGCAAAAACGGGGTAATTGGAGAGTGACTGCCAGTAAGTACAGGAATGCTTTCCAGCATTGCTGAAGTATTCTGAAATTAGGTAGTGGTGATGGTTGCAAAACCTTCGGAATATAGTAAAAGACGCTGAATGGTATGCATAAAAATGGTGACTTTTGTGATATATGAATTATACTTTAGAAGTAATAATAGCAACAGTAATAAAGAGAGGTATCTTTCCACACCTCCATGTCCTGTATTTTTATTAAGAAAGAAAAAAAAAGGCTTTTTAAGGCCAGGTTTAGTGGCTCACTCCTGTAATCCCAGCAATTTTGGAGGCCTAGGTGGGAGGATGGTTTGAGGCCAGAAGTTTGAGAGCAGCCTGAGAAACATAGCATCACCTCATCTCTACAAAACATTAAAAAAAACTTAGCCAAGATAGTGATGTGTGCATAGAGTTCCAGCTACTTCTGAAGTTCGGACAGGAGGATCGCTTGAGCCTGGAAGTTTCAGGTAGCAGTGAGCAGTAATCACTACTGCACTTCAGCCTGAGTAACAGAATGAGACCCTGTCTCACAAAGAGGCATGTCACATAGTAAGTGGCCAGAATAGGTTGCTGACAGCATGTCTAGAGGAAATGTATTAGATAAAACAAATTAAATTCAAAAACTTTTTTTGAGGCGGGGGGCAGAAATGAGGTACAGGGGAGAGAAACACCTACTTGGAAAGAACCACACAACTGAATTGGAGAACTTGGAATGGGGCTTGTAGGAGGGGGAATCTACCTGAGATCTGGCTCCAGTACTTACAGCAAAGGGAACTTGGGTGAGTTACAGACTCTCTGTGCCTTGGTTTCTTCATCAGCAAAACAGAATCATCCCATAAACTGTAAGGTCCGTGGTATCAGAGGGTCCCCAAACTGACTGCACATCTGAGTCATGTTAACAAACACATTCCAGGCCCCACCTGAGCACGCTGAATCAGAATCCCTGCAAGGAGGACACTGAACCTGTATTTGCACTGACCTTCCAGGTGTTTCTTACTCTGATCAACTTGGGGGTAGGAACCATTGAGCTGCATCACATCATTCCAAAGCCCAAACACAAAAGCAGAACAAGAATATATTCAATGCAGTCTCTAAAGCAGAGAAATCTCTTGGGGGAACCTAGAAGTGAAGGAGACCTGGCTTGCTGGGCTCCATCTTATCTTTATCCTGACTACGGCAGAGACACGAGCCCTTCGGGACACATGCCTGAGGCAGTGACAGTCCAACTTTGGAACAGTGAAAGCCCTAGTTTCAAATTCAAGCTTGCTTTGAGTAGAAATTAAGTTTACATCTTTTTGTCCAGCAACAAGGCCAGTCTTCTGCAAGCTGCTTACCTTACAAGGAAAAAAAACAAAATCCTACTACTAAGAATTCAAACTTCAGCAGACATGGGTAAGGAAGTCTTATAAATCTGTTCTAGCCACCTAAAAATAAACCAGAAATTTAGCAAGTTCTTTCACATTCAGGACAGTTGTGTTCACTAGATCAGAGGCACTGAGACATGAAGAAAAGACCCGCTAAAAAGGGAAAGCCTTCCTTCCTGCCCTAGGACATCCCTGCCAACTTCAGGGAGGTGGGAACCCAGCTGCGCTCTCTACAGTATGGGTTACTTTTGTGTCTGGAAGGTGTCTGACATCCTGAGACCTGGACCCATTTCAAGGAGCTTTGGGAAGAGCCCAGATCACTGATGCAATTGGACAGTGCGTGGAAATGGTTCAGCAGGACGAGGGTAAGTGCAGGATCACGGCCAGGTCATTCTGAGAGACAATGAGTGGCACTGATGGGGTCAGACAAAGATTAAAAACAAAAGTTTGTGCTTCGACTTCAGAAACTCAAATCAATAACTAATTTGCTCTTATAAGTAATAAGAAGCATTTTTCTATCTACATGAGAATTTAATCTCAAAACAGAAATCAGAAAAAATAGCAAGTCCAGGGCATAAAACCTAAACCAGTGCTTAGATTTATTCATTTTAAATAGAGCTAAGAGTAAAATCTTCTCCATAAAATATATATTGTATCTATACATAAAATATATGTTGTATCTGAGTTCAGGGTGTGATGAGTGTGACCATGGACTACCCAGCATTCATGTGGAAGTGAAGGAAGAGGACTGGATCAATCCCAGCGGAAAGCGTGCTTCTCAGCAGCCCGCACCATCCTCCACCTACACTGTGTAATGACAGTGCTTTGAGATGTAGCAAAGGCTATAAATTTATCTATTCTCTGGTGTCTCAGAGACCTGACATTCTGTGTCAGAAAGAAAAGTTATAAAAAGGCAAAAGTCTTAATGAGAATCATTCGTACTCAATAGAATAGTGCATTAAATACAGCCAAGGGAAGACCCAAGTCTCATATTTCTCTTGTATATTCCAAAGTTCCAGTGAAATTCCAGGTAATAGAGGTTATTTCCCACACTGTTAAAGCAAGATTGCAGGCACTTCTGAATTTCGGTCCCAATGCTGAAGGAGGGCACACCTCTGTCCTGGAAAATGACACAGGAATGAATGCTCTTCCCATGACTCATTCTGGTCATTCTTCCAGCATCACAGAAACCAAAAAATAGATATATAGCCAAATACATGATTTGCTATCCCTCTTCTTCAGGTTTCTTACCTGTTTCTTATGGATAATAACATTGCCTTAAGGATTATGATGAAAATATGATATCCAAGTATGTGTACAGTTTTGAACAAAATGCCTAGTATGAATTGGTCAATAAATAATTATGTTTATTTATTGAATTACATGGATTATATAAATAATTACTGAATAATTATTGTGATTCCTTTTATTGGCAGTGCTCAAAATGCATCCCTGTGTGACCTCAAGTAAACCAGTAACTTTGTGAACCTGCAGTTTTATCATTTTTAAAGTGAAGAAACTAGACAGATTTTCATTCTGACACAGAATGTCAGGTCTTTGAGACACCAGAGAATAGATAAATTTATAGCCTTTGCTACATCTCAAAGCACTATCATTACACAGTGTAGGTGGAGGATGGTGCGGGCTGCTGAGAGGTGCGCTTTCCACTGGGATTGATCCAGTCCTCCTCCTTCACTTCCACATGAATGCTGCGTAGCCCGTGGTCACACTCATCACACCCTCAACTCAGGCAAGTCCAGCAGCCACACTTAGGAGACCTGGGCTACAGGACAATCTCCCAAGTCCTAGCCTCACAAGACCTAGTTGAAGATGGAAGCTGAGAAAGTGAGGAGGTGGTTTGGGGGAGCACACTCCCCTACTCATCCCTCTCATCTCAAACTCACCTTCTACTGCACAGGAACACTGAGGATCACCAACCACCCATGACCATGAGCTTGATCTTGCCAGGTTCGGTTAGTGGAATGCAACCACACATCAACAGTGTTAGAGCAACTCTATATATATATATATATATATCTCCAACAATATTCCCTGAGAAGCGTTCAATGCCCTGTTCTTTTCAATATATGGGAAAACTAAAAACAACAAAATACCATCAGGTTTACAAGACTTCCCAAGATAGATGGTCACACATGTTTTCAGGGGATATATACAAATGATTTTGATCACTTGATACCTTGAAAAGAGCTATTTTGGGACGAGAATGATATTCGTAAGTGACAAGTATGAAACGAGTGTTCAGTGACATTAAAAAAGCAAACCGACCCACACATAGAGGAAGAGCTTTGGACGTAGGGATGTGAAACTGGTCTTAAGTGTAATGAAAAGCCAAGATGCTGCCCCAGTAAGAGAAAAGAAATCAACATAACAATGGGATGCAGCAAGAATACTGAGACAGCGTAGAAAATCTTTTTTAAAAGTGAATTATTCCTTCATTTTCAGTCGATACAGAAAAAACTGCAGAAGACCCAGAGGGATATCATAGCAGACTAAAAGTTTGCTATCTTTCACTTGTGGAAAAGCATTAAGATCATTTTACCTTAAAAAGAAGGTGAGGTGACTTGATGACTACCACTAAGAAAATATAACCTTCTGGAAAACTATCCCTACCTTGATGATTTTATACACACAAGAGATGAACAATGAGGAATATGCTTATATGTATTGAGAAAGAGGTGGGCCTGTAGCATTGTCACAAGGGTGCACAAATACTGAGAGTGACTGCTGAAGAAATGGTCCCCATCAGTGACCCTCAGGTGAGACCAGGGGGCCTAGTGTTTCAGCACAGCCTGGGCAATTGGAACGCAGGGTTTCTAAGATTCCATGACACCCCCACCTTCTAATTCTGTTATTGCAACTGCAGACCGTTACCTGGTACGCTGGCTGCTACCTCCCTCACTCTTGTCAGAGTCGGAGCTACAGGCAGTGCCTTCAGCTCTGAGCTCAGGCATCCCGGTCCCTGTTTTTGCGGTTAAGGACTCTAAAGTGTTGTGTCGTGTTCATCAACTTTTTCTCAACCGTAAGTTAACAATTCCAGTAATTGTCATCTCTCAGTCCTGATTAAACCTAATTGATTTCACTAGTTTTTGACCCATCATGTGTCTGGGTTTCTTCTCCCCAGTCCCTGGCTCTACCTCTTCTGCCACAAACGTCAGCATGGTGGTATCTGCCGACCCTTTGTCCAGCGAGAGGGCAGAGATGAACATCCTAGAAATCAACCAGGAATTGCGCTCGCAGCTGGCAGAGAGCAATCAGCAGTTCCGAGACCTCAAAGAGAAATTCCTTATAACTCAAGCTACTGCCTACTCCCTGGCCAACCAGCTGAAGAAATACAGTAAGTTCTATAGATTCACAATGATGAACGTGATGAATGATCACCTGTGTTCTGAGAAACTGAACGGTCTTTTCATCGAAATTAATTTCATCCTTCCCATACTTCTAGGAAAATAGAAGTGGATGTTTTAACCTCATTTTGTTAAACATGGAAAACAGAGGCACAAAGTATTTAGCAACTTTTCCACATTGGCAGTCTGGTGTGAGGTGGGACTAGACTTAAAATCCTACTTATTGTCTTCTGACACAGGCACAGAACCACCTGTTTTCCTCAGTAAGAGGCTAAATCATGTTTATGAGAATCCTCTCTGTACCATATAAGATTCTACAGACAAGTAACATCTAGTCTGTTGGTCTAAATGTCTGGGACTAATGAACTTCCATTCAGTTCAAGCTTCTTTGAGGCCCAATAGGCAAAGCTCCATCCAGAGGACCCTGGGGGAAACATGGCAACTGTACAGAGTACCCACTCTAAGGAGCTTAAAGAGGAGACTGCCCCTAACAGAAACTGTGATATCTGTGACACCCTTCAAAGCAGGGAGTGTCCCAGTGAGAGGGAAGTGCTGCTTCCTGGGGCACAGGCTCTTATTCCTGAAGAGGAAGAAAGATGGCACATGAGACATTGTAGAGGTAGCAGTGTAGTGTGCAGAGCAGGGACCCTGGGCCAGTCTCCTGGGCTCCATCCAAGTTGCCTATCTTCTCTGTGCCTCAGTTTCCTCATCTGCTCATTGAGTACTATAATAATACCTACCTCTGTAAATTACTGCAATGAATTACATGACCTATTTCTTGTAAATTTCCTAGAACAGTTCTTGGAACAGAGTAAACACTATCTATTAGTTCTTCATTCTACTATTTCTAACTTAATTCAAACTTTAGTAGTATTTGGGCATATTTCTACTATAGCCTCACAGTCTTGTGCCTCATATTTTATGCAATTATATCCAGATATGATTTTTTAAATGTTTGACATATTCGCACTTGAAATTCCCAGTACAAGGGAAACTTTGGGTCCCATAGTCCTAGGGCCTTCCTGACTGTATAGAAAATCACTACTTCATGCACCAGTGCAGTGTTTTACAGGAGAGGCCGCAAGGCTTGGGAAAGTGGCCCAGGATTCAGAGTCAGACCTCAGGGGCTGTGAATTCTGACTCCGCCTTCTTCCAGGTGAATCATCTTGTCAAGTTACTTGATGTGCCCTTGTGTTTCTTTCTCCCCATCCCTGAGTTGGGGAGTATCAGATGCCAGAAAGTTGGGAGGTTGATAAATAAAGATGTGGAAATGCCTGCCTGGAGCCTGGTACTGGAGCTGCTTTCGTCCTTGGGATGGATGCTGCCGCCTGCCCTATAGACAGTGACCCCAGCAGCATGTCCCACCTTCCACTGAGGCAGGCGTGTCTGTCTTTTCTCAGAGTGTGAAGAGTACAAAGACATCATAGACTCTGTGCTGAGGGATGAACTGCAGTCCATGGAGAAGCTGGCAGAGAAGCTCAGGCAAGCTGAGGAGCTCAGGTGAGCGGGCCCCATTGGGGGCAGGCAGATGGGCAGGGGTGTGAATCTCTGAAGTGCAGCAACTCAGCTGGGAGAACTAAGAGCTGAGCTGGGCCAGGACAACGGCAGGCATTTACATGGCAGGCACGTGTCACACAAATATTTATAAAACAGAGAACAGTCATCTTAGTAAGTTATGGGTTGTAGTTGTTTCTTAAGCCTTGTTTTCTCTTCTTAAAACCACTGATTGTTGAGGTAAAATTTGCATAACACAAAATAAACCAAAAAAAGTGAACCACTCAGAAGCATTTAGGATACTCAGAATGGTGTGCGATCACCACCACCTTTACTCTTCGTCAGAATCACCTCTTGACTGACTGTGGCGTTTCATTTGTTCAATCAATATTGCCTTCTTAACACTGTCATTCTTTTCTTCTTTCATCTTTCCAATTCACCCCATCTGCACCTGGCCACATTTCTGTGCATGGCTTTGTATCTAGTCACTGCAAGATGCGCTATGTGAATTTTCACATAGAGATGCCCATGGCCAAAGTGAGGAACTGAAAGGACATCCTTGTGGAACTGATTTAGGAAGACACTAACTTTTGTTTACAGAAGAAAAAGATGAATGGAACATCTGCGAGGATATTACAGAAGCACTCTCTCATATATCAGAAGGCTGTGTGTGTGTGTGTTTGTATATATATGTGTGTGTATGTTTGTATATATGTATGTGTGTGTGTGTGTGTGTGTGTGTGTATATATATATATATTCTTCTTTCTCTTGGCCACAGACATTTCCCCAAACATGTTCTGACCTTCTGCTTGGAGGTCTCCTTGAGGACATTCTCACAGAAACCTCTGTTGCGGTATTAGAACTGATCACTCATCCCTTTCCATTATTAAATGTTCTCTACTATCTCACCTTAGGCAGTATAAAGCCCTGGTTCACTCTCAGGCAAAAGAGCTGACCCAGTTACGGGAGAAGTTACGGGAAGGGAGAGATGCCTCCCGCTGGCTGAACAAGCATCTGAAAACCCTCCTCACTCCTGATGACCCTGACAAGTCCCAGGGTCAGGACCTCCGAGAGCAGCTGGCTGAGGGGCACAGGCTGGCAGAGCACCTTGTTCACAAGCTGAGCCCAGGTAAGGTGGCCATGGGCCCTGATGACACACAGCTTCAGGCTTATGAAAGTCCCCAGACCTCCACACCTCCACAATGACAATTGTATGGGTAGTGTTTCTTTCCAGTAAACTTTTGTGGCCATGACATGATCAGAATTTCTTGGGTGGGAGCAGAGATGGGAAACCCATGGGGTGGAGGTTACAGAATGGCAAATGTATCCTCCTTTCTTGATGGAATGTGGTCTTTAGAGCAAGAGGCAACATCCGTCCAGTTTTAAAGAACAGGAAGGAGGCTGTGACAGGAAGCAGCTTTTAGAGTGAAAGGAGCCCTGGACTAAGAATGAATGTTCCCAGGATCTATCTTCAGCAATGTCTTTAGCAACTGTGGGCAACTGATTAATTTATCCTTCCTGGGTTTCTGTCTCTAAATCTGTAAAAGCAAACAAATTGTCTCTTGCATTCAAATGTGGGAACACTTATGACTATATTTCACAATGAGATAAAGCCCCTTGCTGTGTGGTGTTGGAGAAGGCACTTGATGTGGTGGCATTTGGTGGTAGGAAGTGGTTTAGACTGGAGCACTCCCCATGGAGAGATTGTCCCCGGTTAACACAGTGGAAGCCACTTGGAGGGCCCATGAAGTCCCTAATGTATGGAATACTGTGGGACAAGGTTGTTTGTCCTGTTCGAAGAGAAAGATATAGGTTCTAAATGCGAACTGTGACAGGATACAGAGCCTGTGCGTGGGAATCAGATCTGTGGCAGGATTGGGGAGACAGCTGCTGAAGTTCAGAGAGAGGCTGGGCAAGCCTCCAGTGATATGAAGAGGAAAAGGTCTTTTCAATATTTGGCCACATCTTGATGGTGACCCTCCAGATCAGAAACGCATTGCCTCATGGATCAGGAAAACATGCCAGGGCATTTTTTTAGAGATAAAACATGAGAGCTTTCAGCACAGTGTGGACTTATACATGTAGATGTTTATGTCCCTGTGCACATAGGGCTCACTGTGCTTGCAGTGGGTGAAATGGGAAATATTTCAATGGACACATCTGTATTTGCAGAAAATGATGAAGATGAAGATGAGGATGAAGACGACAAAGACGAGGAGGTTGAGAAAGTACAGGAATCACCTGCCCCCAGGTAACATTGAATAATCAGGAGCGGGTAATGGGTGGTAAAATATGAAAAAGGTCTCAGAAAGAATAAAAGGGAGGTGAAGGTAGTCACAGATTCCAGAGGCAGGATAAAGAAAGCTGCAGAGTGCACTGATTTCATGTGCTCACCCAACAAGGAAATAGCCCCATTAACGTGCTTGTCCATTGTCTTCCTGGTGCCTGTAAGTATGACCCTAGATGAACTCACCATCCCTAGGGACTTCCTGCACACACAGAGGAGACCTGTTCTCCCCTGTAGTGAAAGCCAGGATGAGATGTAAAGCTGCTTTCTACACTGTTGTCTTTAGGTTCTTTTTAGGAAAGATAAATAGCAGAGAGGCAACAAGCAGAGGAAATAGGAAGCACCTAGCAAAGTTGAACACAAAGTACAGTACCTAGACAAAAAAATTTACATTTCATGTCACAATATTAAAATTTTAAAAAAACTAGAAGGCACACCATCTCTGAAGTCTACAATGGCTCAAATGCCTGTATAGCCATGGCCACAGTATGTTAACTACAACCCAGCTTAGACACACCATGTGGCAGCTGTTTTTGGTTCTCTGTGTGTGCTGTCAAGACTGTACCATACAGGGACAGCTGAGTCTTCGTCCTCCTCAGCTCCTATCTGCCCAGTGCAATGATCACTAGCTGCTGTCTTCCTCTCTGGTTCCCATGGCAGCCACGCTCTGTTGCAGACAGAAAAGGATTGCCTGTTCCCTCTTAAAAGGAACCTCTCCTTTGCATTCTGGGACCACTCTCTTAAGCCTCCTTTCAAAACCACCTAGGACTTCTTGGGGTGCAATGCCTTTTGGATTAATCTTCTGTCATCTCTATCCCACTGGGCTCATCAGAGAGGTGCAGAAGACTGAAGAAAAGGAAGTCCCTCAGGACTCACTGGAGGAATGTGCTGTCACTTGTTCAAATAGTCACAACCCTTCTAACTCCAACCAGCCTCACAGGAGCACCAAAATCACATTTAAGGAACACGAAGTTGACTCTGCTCTGGTTGTAGAGAGTGAACACCCTCATGATGAAGAGGAGGAAGCTCTAAACATTCCCCCAGGTAGCCTCTCTATTCTTTGTCCCTCCTAGCTCTGTCTAGGCTGAGGAAGATCAATTCTGAGGACAGACTGTATACATACATATTGGTTTGAATCACAAAGTATAGTGGAGCCGGGGGCGGTGGCTCACACCTATAATCCCAGCACTTTGGGAGGCCCAGGCGGGTGAATCACTTGAGTTCAGGAGTTCAAGACCAGCTTGGGAAATGTGATGAAACCCATCTTTACAAAAAACATGAAAAACTAGCCAGGCATGGTGGTGCGTGCCTGTCATCCCAACTACCCAGGCAGCAGAGGCGGGAGAATCACCTGAGCCCAGGAAGTAAAGGCTGCAGTGAGCCACAATTGCACTCCAGCCTGAGTGACAGAGTGAGGCTGTGTCTCAAAAAAAGAAAAAGAAAGAAACAGAGAGAGAGAGAGGAGAGAGAGAGAGAGAAAGAGAGGAAAGAAAGAAAAAGAAAGAAAGAAAAAGAAAGAAAGGGAGAGAAGGAAAAGAAAAGAAAGAAAGAAAGAGAGAAACTATGATAGAATATTAAACACAGTTATGTGAAGGTCAGAGAACATTCCTCTCCTCCTAGGCCCATGGCATGGACTTTGTCTTCCTGGCCCCAATATTAGCATACTGGACCACAGGCAGGTGTGACAAAGTCATAGCCACCTGTGTACAGGAGGTATCTGTCAGGCCTCCTGGCTCGGTTCCTATGTCTCTTGTCACATGCAATAATGATTTGTGTCCCTGAACAATGTCCATGGAGTTTCTATGCCTGTCACAGGCGACTGACAGTCTTGCCTATGTAATTGGAGATGTGTCTCTGGATTCACTGTTCTCGGCCCCAGGCTTGGTCTCCTTTAGGTCAGCTTGTCCCAGCTAAGCAGTCACCTTGAAAGCAGGACATAAACACTTCTACCTTTATCTTGCTTATAAGTTTCCCTAAACGAGGCTGGGCCCTGAGTTCTTCACCCCATGAGCGGTCAATGTTTCTGTGTAGCACCGCAGACTCTTTTTTATGCAAGGATTGTTAGAATTTATCCATCAGTTCAGTCTCCTATACAAATTTCTCTAACCATTCGTTGACCATGATATATGATGAGATAAATCAGTATTGCAACAACACTTCTGGAGAGTGGTTAGGGCAATTTTTGAAAATCTTGGGGAAAAAGTTTTGTTTAATTGTTCACACAGACTTAGGTCAGAGGATAGGTGATTATGATCTACCAGATGAGGGAGATTTTGTCCTATGGGTCTGGAAAGCAGGCACATCTACTTCTGAAAATAAGTCAGAATGATCCTGTCAAAATGTCACATTCTTACACTGAGGATATTTATGTTCTTGTGCTATGACTGGACACTTATTTGCTCTTGTGTGATTTCCTTACTGTGACCTGCTCTTCTGAATTTGTTTACAGAAAATCAAAATGACCATGAGGAGGAGGAGGGGAAAGCGCCAGTGCCCCCCAGGTAACTGTGGATTTGTGGGCTGTTAGTTCAATAGTGACATCTGGACACCACGGATCAAGGGAAAATAGGAAGTGACGAATAGAACTGTCTCATCCATTCATCCAAGTGCAAATTGCCCCTTTAACAATGTTGTCTTCTTTATTGTGGTACTTGAATAGGTTTCAATTTCTTAATCCCTCTCAAGCATAGGAACCGACAATCACTTGAACCAGGTGAACTGACCAACCTCAGGGATTTCCTGATCTCACCTGTGGTCTCCCATGTGGCTAATCCAGGGTGAGATGCATATATGCTTTCTGTATGTTTTGTGACAGCATGTTGGCAAGTATTTGAATGCAATCGAGAAAATTAAAAATAAAAATTTCATATTATGTCAAAATATTGAAAAAAAAGGGGGACCTTAAAAACACAGGATCTGTGCGTTGGGAATGCCTCAAGAGCTGTGTTCACTTGGATGCTGCATGTAATGTCAACGCAATTTGTGTAAAGGAAGTGAAGTCCCAGCTTAGTTCTCAGTGCTGCAAGTCATGATGCTTGATGCTAGTTTACAGGGAGAGTCTGGGTCCTCCTGCAGCCGCTCGTTTGTGGCAAGTGCACTGAGCACCTGCTGCTCATGTTTGCTCTGTCTCCAGGACAGTCACACTCCACCCCACATTTAGAAGGATAGATTTTTCTCTCTTGGAGGAGACCCCCCTTTGCTTTCTGTGACCACACCCTTTGTGTCCTATCAAATCACCTGAGATACTATGGTGTTGAATCTGTCTTGGTCTAACCTTCTGTCGTTCTATCCTACCTGGCTCATCAGAAAGCTGCAGGATTCTGAAGAGAAGGGAGTCCTGCAGGACTTGCCAGAGAAATGTGTTTTGTCTCATTCTAGACACCATGACAAGTCCAACTCTTACCGGCATCGTGAAGTCTCTTTCTTGGCATTGGATGAACAGAAAGTTTGCTCCGCTCAGGATGTTGCCAGGGATTACTCCAATCCCAAATGGGATGAAACCTCACTTGGCTTCCTCGGTAGGCTCCCTATTGTTTGTACCCCAGATTTGTCCATAGTGACGGATGTCATACCTTCAGGAAGACTCTATGCTTATATACTGGTTAAAACCTGCAAACTGGTTATAAACTGGCAAAAAACCTGCATCATGACTTTCAAGCGGTCTAAAGGTGCCGTGCATGTCCGTGCAACCGCATTAGCTATTCCTGCTGACACCAAACGCTTCCACCAATCTCCAGACTGCTTTTCTTGTTCGGTAAATTCATCTGGAATAGCTATACTCTCTCCTATATCAATTAACTGATAAATAGGAAGAATTATTAGACAATAAACAAAAGTGTAAACACTTGATAAATTATAAGGATAGCTTTCTACAAGGAGCAAAGATAACTTTTTACAAGGACCAAAAATCCAAAGATTTTTTTCATGCCACTTCCTGTTACTGAAGATCAACAATTTTCTTAGCACCTGTACTACATCAAGTGATTTTTAATAATGCATTGACATATAGATTTAATGTAAAATCAATTAAATTAGAGCAATTATTAATTTAAAATTCTCAAACTATTTAGTTAATCTGTTCTCTGAAAAATGTAAACCCTGAGTACAGGGATTACATACCAGCCACTCATCACAATGTCTGCCACATACTAGGCAAGGAATAAATAATAAATATTCCTTGCTTTATTTCAAATTCTCTCAAACTCCTTTAATTACTTAAACCTAAGTCAAAATTCAAGAGTAGCATCTTATATGATTTGATTAAATTTCTTTATTATTTGCATTGACTCCTTCTTCAAATGTCAGTTTCCTTTTTAAAAGTCTATACTCTAACCACTTTTGCATTTTACTTTATTTTCAGTGATCATACTTGCTTATGACAAGATGATCACTTTTTTCTAAATGATGAGGCAATGTGGTTTAGTGCAGAAGTTAGTTTCTGCCCTCTAGGAATTTACAGAGTAATAAAAGAGATAGGAAAGGAAAAAAAGCAATTATAATACAGAGAAAATAAGTAAAATAACAAGGGTAGCAAATAAAGGTGTCTTAAGAAGACAGTATAGAGGCTGGAGGCAAAGCAAGAAGGCAGAAGACTCTACCCATCATCCCCCTGCAAGGACACCAATTCAACAATTATCTACCCAAATAAAACACCTTCATAAGAACTAAAAATCAGATGAGCCCTCATAGTAACTGATTTCAGCTTTGTATCACTGAACGAGGCAGTGAAGAGATAGAACAAACAGCCTTAAATCGCTGGCACCATCCCTGCTACACCCCAACAGTGGTGGCAAGGTACGGGGAGTGTCTCTGGGCACTGGGGGAGGGAGAGCACAGCAATTGTGAGGCATTAAACTCAGTGCTGTCCTGTTAAAGAAGAAAGGAAAAGTGAACTGAACTCAGCGGACACCCACCCATGGAAGAAATAAGATGTATGTGTGTGCAAGTGTGTGTGTGTGTGTGTGTGTATGTGTGCATATGTGTTTTTGAGACAGGGTCTTACTCTGTTGCCCAGGCTGGAGTGCAGTGGTGTGATCATGGCTGACTGCAGCCTCGATCTCCCTGGGCTCAGGTGATCCTTCCACTTCAGCCTCCCAAGTAGCTGGGACCATAGGCATGCGCCACCACAAGGCTAATTTTTGTATTTTAGTAGAGATGGGGTTTCACCACGTTGCCCAGGCTGGTCTCAAACTCCTGGACTCAAGCAATACTCCCATCTTGGGCTCCCAAAGTGCTGGGATTACAGGTGTGAGCAACTATGCCCAGCCAGAGAGAGCATTTAAACCAGCCCTAGCCAGAGGAGAACTATTAATACCAGTGGTACAAACTTGAGTTCCCACAAACCTTACCACCATTAGGCCACGCTGCACTGGGTCTCTAAGTAAACTGGAAACACAGTGTAGACCATAAGGACTTCAATTGCTAGGTGAATCCTAGTGCTGAACTGGGCCCAGAGACAGGACTAGGGGAAATCTCAAGACCTACTCAGACAGCAGCTGAGGTGGCTAAGGGAGGGCTGACATCGTCCAACCCCTAACCCCAGGCTGCACATCTTATGGCACCAAAAGAGACCCCTTCCTTCCACCTGAGAAGAGGAGAGGGAAGAGTGGGGAGGACTTTATCCTGCATCTTGAATACTAGCTCAGCCACAGGAGGATAGGGCACCACTCAGAGTTGCAAGGCTCCTGTTCCAGGCCCTACCTCCTGGATGACATTTCTAGACACACCCTTGGCCAGAAGAGAATCTGTTGCCTTGAAGGGTAGGACTCGGTCCTGGCAGCATTCATCACATGCTAACTGAAGAACCCCTAGGCCCTGAATAACCAGTAGTGATACCCAAGAACTATGTCAAGAGCCTTAGGTAAGCCTATGAGACTTCAGGTGAGACTGAGTATATTACAAGCTGTGGTGGGTACAAGGCAAAACTCCTTCTGCTTGAAAAAAGCATAGGGAAAAGTAAAGGAAACTTAGGCACCGGCATGGCCACAGTGGGGGAAGGGGGTAGAGCACTAAATGGGCTCTTTAGGCCCCTGATTCCAAGACTTGACTCTTGGATGGCATTTCTTGACCTGCTGTGGACCAGAGCTGACCTGAAAGATCAGGCAGCATTCACCACAAGTGGACTTAAGAGACCTTGGGCCTTAAGAGAAAACTGGCAGTAGTCTGGCAGTATCCCAGTATTCCCCACGGCCTGTAGTGGTGGTGGCCTTTGGAAAGGGGAGGGAAGAGTGGGAAAGACTGTATCTTGTGGTTTCACCGCTTTAGGTGGCTCAAAACAGAAAAGAGACTTTGTTAGTTTGGGGAAAAGTAAAGGAAGAGAAGAAGAGTCTCTTCCTGGTAATCCAGAGAATTCTCCTGGATCTTGTCCAAGACCATTAAGGCAGTACCTCTATGAGTGTGCAAGAACCACAGGCTTACTGGGTTTTGGGTGCCCTCTAAAACAGATACAGCTTAGATCACAACACTCAAGTTCTTTCAAATAACTGGAAAGCCTTCCCAAGAAGAACAGGTACAAACCAGCCTAGACAGTGAAGACTATAATGAAAACCTAACTTTTCAATGCTGAGACACCAAAGAACATCTGCTGGCATCAACACCATTCAGAAAAACACAACCTCACCAAATGAACTAAATAAGGCACCAAAGACCAATCCAGAAGAAACAGATATGTGACCTTTCAGACACAGAATTCAAAATAATTTTCAGGAAACTCAAAGAAATTCAAGATAACACAGGGAAGGAATTCAGAATTCTATCAGACGAATTTAACAAAGAGATTAAAATAATTAAAATGAATCAAGAAGAAATTCTGGAGCTAAAAAATGCAACTGGCATACTGAAGAATGGATCAGAGTCTTTTAATAGCAGAATTGGTCAAGCCGAAGAATTAGTGAGCTTGAAGACAGGCTATTTGAAAACACAAAGAAGAAACAAAACGAAAAAAAAAAAAGAATAAAAAACAATGGAGCATGCCTATAGAATCTAGAAAAATAGCCTCAAATGGGCAAATCTGAGTTATTGGCCTTAAAAGAGGAGATAGAGATAGGAATAGAAAGTTTATTCAAAGCAATAATATCAGAGAACTTCTCAAACATAGAGAAAGATATCAATATCCATGTACAAGAAGGTTCTAGAACACCAAGCAGATTTAACCCAAAGAAAATTACCTCAAGGCATTTAATGATCAAAATCACAAAGATCAAGGATAAAGATCCTAAAAGCAGCAAGAGAAAAGAAGCAAATACTGTACAATGAAGCTCCAATATGTCTGGCAGCAGACTTTTCAGTGAAAATCTTACAGGCCAGTAGAGAGTGGCATAACATTTTTTGTTTATTTGTTTTTTTGAGATGGAGTCTCGCTCTGTTGCCCAGGCTGGAGTGCAGTGGCGTGATCTCGGCTCACTGCAAGCTCTCCCTCCCGGGTTCACACCATTCTCCTGCCTCAGCCTCCTGAGTAGCTGCGACTACAGGTGCCCGGAGAGTGGCATGACATGTTTAAAGTGCTGAAAGAAAATAACTTTTACCCTAGAATAATATATATAGCAAAAATATCCTTCAAACGTGAAGGAGAAATACTTTCCCAGACAAACAAAAGGCTAAAGGATCATCAATACCAGACCTGTTCTACACAAAAGGATAAAAGGAGTACTCCAGTCAGAAAGAAAAGGACATTAATAAGCAATCAAATCATCTGAAGGTACAAAACTAACTGGTAGTAGTAAGCGCACAGAAAAACACAGAATGGTACGACACTGTAATTGTGGTGTGTAAACTATTCTTATCTTTAGAAAAACTAAATCATCAACCAATCAAAAATAACTACAACAACTTTACAAGTCATAGACAATACAATAAGACATAAAGAGACACAAAAAAAGTTAAAAAGTGGAGGCATGAAGTTATAGAGTTGTATTAGTTTTCTTTTTGCATATTTGTTTATGCAAACTGTTAAGTTCTTATCAGGTTAAAATAGTGGGTTATAAAATAATATTTTCAAGCCTCATGGTAACCTCAAACATAAAAACAGAATGGATACATAAAAAAATTAAAACCAAGAAACTAAATCATATTACTAGAAGAGATAACCTTCACTAAAGATAGGAAGTAAAGAAAGAAGGATGAGAAAATCACAAAACAACCAGAAAACAAATAACAAAACAGCAGGAGTAACTCCTTACTTATCAATAATAACATTGAATGTAAATAGACTAAACTCTCCAATCAAAAGACATAGAGTGGCTAAATGGATGAAAACACAAGACCCATTAACCTGTTGCCCACAAGAAACACACTTCGCCTATAAAGACACACATAGACTGAAAATAAAGGGATGGAAAAAGACATTCCATGCCAACGGAAACCAAAAAAGAGCAGAAGTAGCTATACTTATATCAGACAAAATGACTTCAAGTCAAAAGCTGTAAGACACAAAAAATGTCATTATAATGATAAAGGCGTCAATTCAGCAAAAGGATATAACAATTGTATATATAAATATATGCACCCAACACTGGAGCACCCATATATATATAAAAAGAAAATATTATTAGAGCTAAAGAGAAAGAGAGGCCCCAATACAATAATAGCTAGACTTCAACATCCCACTTTCTCATTGGACAGATCTTCCAGACTGAAAATCAATAAAGAGGCACTGCTCTCATGAAAAAATAGAGAGGGTGAGTAAATAAAGCACCTTCAACTGAAACATCCAGGTACACACATTGAGATTCATCAAGAAAACAACTCAACCCATGGAGAATGAAGAAAAGCAACGCAAGATGACCACCCACCCAGGAGTGACATGGAGCCAATGGAGCCTCCCCTGCCCAGGAAAGTGGCGAGTGAATGCGTGACCCTGAGAACCCATGCTTCTCTCACAGATCTTTGCAACACTTGGGTCAGGAGATCCCTTCATGAACTCACTCCAACAGAGCTTGCAGTCTGACACACTGAGCTACATGGAGTCTTGGCAAAGCAGCTGCTGAGGCATACACAGAGCCACAGGAACTTCAGATACCCAAGCTTCCTGGTGAATGCAGCTGCAACTCCAGCAAAGTGGGAGGCTGGACCCCTCTACATACCCCTAAGGAAAGGGACTGAATCTATGGGGCTGAGCAGCAAAGGTCTGCAGGTCCTGCTTCCATGGCACCTCACAGGATAAGACACACTAGCTTAGAACTCCAGCCCGCCACCAGTAGCAGTGTTATATTTCCCTGACATGGATCTCCCAGACGGAGGGGTGGGCCACGATCTTTGCTGTTTTGCAGGCTTAGCCATTGTTGCCTTCAATGCAGCTACCCTACGAAAAAGTGGCCAGACGGCTACTTTTTACATGGATACCTAACCCCACTTTTCCTAATTGAGTAGGACCTCCTAACTGGAGTCACCAGCTACCCTCACCTGTATTTTCCAGCTGGCAGTGGTTCCCAGCCTCCCTGGGATGGAACTCACAAGCAGACAGACCACCATCTTTGCTGTTTCACAGCCTAAGCTGTTGTTACCTTCAGGCTCTAGGACTGACTAGTGACTAGTGACTGGAGCAGGTCCCCCAGCATGGTGCAGCAGCTCTGTGGAGAAGCAGCCAGATCGCTTTTACATGAGGGTCCTGGATACCACTTCTCTTCACTGGGCAGAATCTCCTGATGGAGGTCTCTAACAACCTCCACTGGTGTTTTCCAGCCAGCAATAGTTTCAAACCGCCCTGAGATGGAGCTCCCAGAGGAATGGATGCACTCCCACCCTTGCTGTTTCTCAGCCTTAGCCATTGCTGCCTTTGGGATTTAGAGAGTCCAAAGAGACTAGAGACTGGAATGGAGCCCCATCACAGTACAACTGCTCATAAAAAGCAGCCAGACTGTTTATTCACATGGGTCCCCAATCTTGTTCCTCCTCACTAAGCAGGACCTCCCAACCGAGATATCTATCCACCCCGCTGGTGTTTTCCAGCTGACAGCAGCTTCAAAAGTCTGTGGGACAAAACTCCCAGAGGGAGGGCTGGGCTGCCATCTTTGCTGTTTTGCAGCCTTCACTGTTGATACCTTCAGCTGCTGAAAAATCTGAGGTGGTTATGGACTGGAGTGAACCCCCAAGAGACTGCAGCAGCCCTAGGAAAAAGTGGCCAAACTCTTTATTATGTGGGTCCCCAATCCTGTACCTCCTCACTAGACAGGTCCTCCCAGACTGGGTCTCTAACCACCCCTGCTGGGTCTATCAAGCCAGTGGCAGCTATGCAACTCACTGAGACAAAGCTCCCAGTGAGAAGAGTGGGATGCCATCTTTGCTGTCTCCAGGCCCTGGAGAGTCCACAGGAACCATGGCGTGGTTTGGACCCCTAGCACAGAGCACTCATCTGAAAGAAAGGTGGCCAGACTTTTCTCCATGCAGGTCCCAGTCCTCACTTTTACTCACTGGACAGGGGCACCCAACCTGGGGTTCCAAAACAATCCCCCTGCCTCCACCTGACCACTTCAATCAGTGGCAGCCCAGCAGTTAAAGGAACACTCACACACAGACACACAGAGATGGGGAAAAAGCCAATGCAAGAACTCCGGCAACTCAAATGGCCAGAGTATCTTATGTCCTCCAAATCACTGCACTAGTTTTCCAACAGGCATTCTTAACCAGGAAGAACTGGCTGAAATGACAGAAATACAATTTGGACTATAGATAAAAATTATTGACATTCAGGAGAATGGCAAAACCCAGTCCAAAAACACTATAGAAACAATAGAGGAGCTGACAAATAAAATAGCAAGGAAAAAAAAACCCTAATTGACTTCATAGAGCTGAAAAACACACTACAAGAATTTCACAATGCAGTCACAAGTATTAACAGCAGAATAGACTAACCAGAGGAAAGAATCTCAACAGGTGAACACTGGCTCTCTGAAATAAGACAGACAAAAATAAAGAAAAAAGAATGAAAGGGAACAAACAAAACCTCTGAAAAATATCGAATTTTGCAAAGAGGCCAAATCTATGAATCATTGTCATCCCTGAAAGAGGAGGAGAGAAAGCAGCAACTTAGAAAACATATTTCAGGATATCATATATTAACACTTACCCAACCTCACTAGAGAGTCCAAAGTTCAAATACAGGAAATGCAGAGAACCCCTACAAGATACTACACAAAAGATCATCCCCAAAACACATAATCATTAGATTTTCCAAGGTCAAAATGAAAGGCAAAATGTTAAAGGCGGCTAGAAAGAAAGGGCAGGTTGCCTACAAATGGAAAACCCCATCAAGCTAACAGCAGACCTCTCAGCAGAAACCCTACAATCCAGAAGAGATTAGGGGCCCATATTTACCATTCTTTAAAAAAAAAAAATCTTCAACCAAAAATTTCATATCTAGCCACATTTAGCCTCATAAGTGAAGAAGAAAAAAGATCCTTCCCAGACAAGCAAATGTTGAGAGAATTCATTACCACCAGATCTGCCTTACAAGAGCTCCTAGAAATCACACAAAATATAGAAAGGAAAGATGATTACCACTGAAATACCCAAACCAGACACTACAAAGCAACCACACAAACAAGTCTGCATAACAACCACCTAACAACGTGATGACAGGATCAAATCCCCACATATCAATACTAAATGTAAATCAGCAATACTTGAATGTAAATGGGCTAAATGTCCCAATTAAAACACACAGAGTAACAAGCTGGATAAAAGAGCAAGACCTAATGGTATGCTATCTTCAGGAGATCCATCTCACATGGCATGAGATCCATCTCACACCAAGAGGTTCAAAGTAAAGTGATGAAGGAAAATCTATCAAGCAAATGGAAATCAAAAAAAGCAGGGGTTACAATCTTAATTTTAGACAAAACAGACTTTAAATCAACAAAGATAAAAAAAGACAAGAACATTACATAATGGAAAAGGGTTCAGTTCAACAAGAAGATCTAATTATACTAAATATACATGCATCTGACACAGGAGCTCCCAGATTCATAAAGCAAGTTCTTAGAGACCTATGAAGAGACTTAGACTCCCACACAATAATAGTG
Organism: Homo sapiens; assembly: GCF_000001405.40. Classification (NCBI taxonomy): domain Eukaryota; kingdom Metazoa; phylum Chordata; class Mammalia; order Primates; family Hominidae; genus Homo; species Homo sapiens. The sequence continues at coordinate 314,262 of NW_017852928.1, read as the reverse complement.
GGAGACCTCAACACTTCACTGACAGTGTTAGACAGATCATCAAGGCAGAAAATTAACAAAGATACTCAGGACCTGAACTCAGCAATTGACCAAATGGACTTAACAGACATCTACAGAATGCTCCATCAAAAAAACAACAGAATATATATTCTTCTCATTGCCACATGGTACATACTCTAAAATCGACCACACAATTGGACGTAAAACAATCCTCAGGAAATTTTTAAAAACCAAAATTATACCATCCACACTCTCAGATCTCAGGCTACAGAACAATAAAAATAGAATATGAAGAAAATTGCTCAATCCCATACATTTACATGGAAATTAAATAACCTGCCCTTGAATGACTTTTGGGAAAATAATGAAATTAAGGCAGAAATCAAGAAGTTCTCTGAAACTGATGGGAACAAAGATACAACATACCAGAATCTCTGCAACATAGCTAAGGCAGTGTTAAGAGGGAAATTTACAGCATTAAATGCCCACACCAAAAAGTTACAAAGATCTCAAATTAACCACCTAAAATCACAACTAGAAGAAATAGAGAAGCAAGAGCAAACTAACCCCAAAGTTAGCAGAAGACAAGAAACAACCAAAATCAGAGCTGAACTGAAAGAGACTGAGACACGAAAAACCATACAAAAGACCAACAAATCCAGGCGTTGGATTTTTGAAAAAATTACTAATATAGATAGACCACTAGTCAGTCTAATAAAGAAAAAGAGAGAAGACCCAAATAAACACAATTAGAAATTACCAAGGGGATGTTACCACTGACTCCACAGAAATACAAACAACCATGGAGATTACTGCAAACACCTCTATGCACACAAACTAGAAAACCTAGAAGAGATGGATGAATTCCAGGACAGACATACATGCTCAAGACTGAACCAGGAAGAAATGGATTCCCTGAACAGGCCAATAACAAGCTCTGAAACTGAAATTAAATCATTAATACATAGCTTTCCAACCCCCAGCTGCCCAAAAAAGCCTAGGACCAGAAGGATTCACAGTCAAATTCTCCCAGATGTACAAAGAAGAGCTGGTACTATCCTTACTGAAACTTTTCCAAAAAATTGAGAAAGAGGGATTCCTCCTGAACTCATTCTAGGAAGGCAGCATCTTCCCAATACCAAAACCTGGCAGAGACACAATAATAAAAGAAAACATCAGGCCAATAACCTTGATGAAAACGATGCAAAAATCCGCAACAAAATACTTGCAAATGGCCAGGCACAGTGGCTCATGCCTGTAATTCCAGCATTTGGGGAGGCCAAGGTGAGCAAATCACTTGAGCTCAAGAGTTTGAAACCAACCTGGACAACATGGCAAAACCCCATCTCTACCCACTCACCCCCCCCAAAAAAATATAAAAACTTAGCCAGGTACAGTGGCACACACCTATGGTCCAAGGTACTCAGGAGGCTGAGGTAGGAAAATTGCTTGAGCCCAGGAGGACAAGGCTGCAGTGAGCCAAGATCACACCACTGCACTCCAGCCTGGGTGACAGAGTAAGACTCTGTCTCTAAAACTATATATATATTTGCAAACTGAATCCAGCAGCACATCAAAAAGCTAATCCACCGTGATCAAGTAGGCTTTATCCCTGGGACGCAAGGTTGGTTCGATATATGCAAATCCATAAATATGATTCATCATATAAACAGAACTAAACACAAAAACCACATGATTATCTCAACAGATGCAGCAAAGGCATTTGACAAAATCCACCATTGTTTCACGTTAAAAACTCTCAATAAACTAGGTATAGAAGAAACATACTTTAAAATACAAAGTATTGCACTTGTACAAAGAAGAGCTGGTATCATTCCTGCTAAAATGATAAGAGCCACCTATGACAAACCTACAGCCAACATCATACTGAATGGGCAAAATCTGGAACCATAGCCCTTGAAAACTGACACAAGACAAAGATACCCTCCCTCGCCACTCCTATTCAACATTGTATTGGAAATCCTGGCCAGAGCAATGAGGCAAGAGAAAGAAATCAAGGGCTTCCAAATAGGAAGAGGGAAAGTCAAACTATCCCTGTTTGTAGATGACATGATTCTATATATAAAAAACCCAAAAGTCTCAGCCTAAAAGCTCCTTGAGCTGATAAACAACTTTGGCAAAGTCTTAGGATACAGAATAAATGTACAAAAATCACTAGCATTTCTGTACCCCAACAGCATCCAAACCAATAGTGGAATCAGTAATGAAATGCCATTCTCAACTGCCACAAAAAGAACAAAATACCCAGGAATATAGCTAACCAGGGAGGTGAAAGATCTCTACAATTAGACTGCTCAAAGAAATGAGATGACACAAACAAATAGAAAAACATTCATTCTCATGGATAGGAAGAATCAGTCTTGTTAAAATGGCTATACTGCCCAAAGCAATTTATAGATTCAATGCTGTTCAGTCAAACTACCAATGACATTCTTCCAATGTCAAACTACCAATGACAGAACTAGAGAAAAACTATTTTAAAATTCATATGGAACCAAAAAAGAGCCTACATAGCCAAGACAATCCTAAGCAAAAAGTACAAAGCTAGAGGCATCACATTACCCAACTTCAAACTATGCTACTGGGCTCTTGTAACCAAACAGCAAGACACTGGTACAAAAACAGACATACAGACCAAGGGAACAGAATAGAGAGCCCAGAAATAAGGATACACACCTACAACTATCCTGATCTTTGAAAAAGTTGACAAAAACAAGCAATGAGGAAAGGACTCCCTATTCAATAGATGGTGCTGGGATAACTGGCTAGCCATGTGCAGAAGATTGAAACTGGATCCCTTCTTTGCACCGTATACAAAAATCAACTTGAGATGAATTAAAGATTTTAAATGTAAAACATAAAACTATAAAAATCCTGGAAGATAGCCTAAGAAATACCATTCTGGATATAGGAAAGGGCAAAGATTTCATGATGAAGACACCAAAAGCAATCGCAACAAAAGCAAAAATTGACAAATGGGATCTAACTAAACTAAAGAGCTTCAGCACAGCAAAAGAAACTATCAACAGAGTAAACAGACAACCTACAGAATGGGAAAAAGTATTTGCAAACTATACATCTGACAAAGGTCTAATATCTATCATCTATGAGGAACTTAAATTTACAAGAAAAAAAATATAACTTCATTAAAAAGTGGACAAAGGACATGAACAGGCACTTTTCAAAAGAAGACATACACATGGCCAACAAGCATATGAAAAAATGTTCAATATCAATAATATGGTTTGACAGTGTCCCTACCCAAATGTCAACTTGAATTGTAACTCCCAGAATTCCCATGTGTTCTGGAAGAGACCCAGGTGGAGGTAATTGAATCATGGGGGCTGGTCGTTCCTGTGCTATTCTTGTGATATTGAATAAGTCTCACAAGATCTGATGGGTTTATCAGGGGTTTCCACTTTTGCTTCTTCCTCATTTTCTCTTGCCATTGCCATGTAAGAAGTGCCTTTCACCTCCCACCATGATTCTGAGGCCTCTCCAGCCATGTGGAACTGTAAATCCAATTAAACCTCTTTTTCTTCTCAGTCTTGGGTATGTCTTTATCAGCAGTGTGAAAAAGCACTAATACAATAAATTGGTACCAGTAGAGTGGGGCATTGCTGAAAATATACCTAAAAATGTGGAAACAACTTTGGAACTGGGTAACAGGCAGAGATTGGAACAGTTTGGAGGGCTCAGAAGAAGATAAGAAAATGTGGGGAAATTTGGAACTTCCTATAGACTTTTTGAATGGCTTTGCCCAAAATGCTGATAGTGATATGGACAATAAGGTCCAGGCTGAGGTGATCTCAGATAGAGATGAAGAATTTTTTGGGAACTGGAGTAAAGGTGACTCTTGTTATGTATTAGCAAAAAGACTGGAGGCATTGTGCCCCTGCCCTAGAGATTTCTGGAACTTTGAACTTGAGAGAGATGATTTAGGGTATCTGATGGAAGAAATTTCTAAGCAGCAAAGCATTCAAGAGGTGACTTGGGTGCTGTTAAAGGCATTCAGCTTTATAAGGGAAGCAGCACATAAAAGTTTGAAAATTTGCAGCCTGACTATGCGATAGAAAAGAAAACCCCATTTTCTTGGGAGAAATCCAAGCCAGCTGCAGAAATTTGCATAAGTAGCAAGGAGCCTAATGTTAATCCCCAAGACCATGGGAAAAATGTCTGCAGGCCATGGCAGAGACATTCAAGGCAGCCCCTCCCATCACAGGCCTGGAGGCCCAGAAGGAAAAACTGGCTTCCTGGGCCAGGCCCAGGGTCCCCATGCTGCATGCAGCCTAGAGACTTAGTGACCTGTGTCCCAGCTGCTCCAGCCATGATTGAAATGGGCCAATATACAGCTCAGGCTGTGGCTTCAGAAGGTGGAAGCCCCAAGCCTTGGCAGCTTCCATGTGGTGTTGAGCCTGCGGGTGCACAGAAGTCAAGAACTGAGGTTTGGGAACTTCTACCTAGATTTCAGAAGATGTATCGAAACGCCTGGATGCCCAGGCAAAAGTTTGCTGCAGGGGCAGAGCCCTCACAGAGAACCTCTGCTAGGGCACTGTAGGAGGGAAATGTGGGGTTGGAGCCCCCAAACCGAGTCCCTACTAAGGCACTGCCTAGTGGAGCTGTGAGAAGACAGCTACTGTCCTCCAGACCCCAGAATGGTGGATGCACTGACAGCTTGCACTGTGTGCCTGCGAAAGCCATAGACACTCAATGCCAGCCCATGAAAGCAGCTGGGAAGGAAGTTATATCCTGCAAAGCCACAGGGGCTGAGCTGCCCAAGACCATGGGAACCCACCTCTTACATCAGCATGACCTGGATGTGAGACCTGGAGTCAAAGAAGATCATTTTGGAGTTTTAAAATTTGACCGCCTCACTGGATTTTGGACTTACATGGGCCCTATAACCCATTTGCTTTGGTCAATTTCTCTGATTTGGAACAGCTGTATTTACCCAATACCTGTACCTCCATTGTATCCAGGAAGTAATTAGTTTGCTTTTGATGTTACAGGCTCATAGGCGGAATGGACTTGCCTTTTCTCAGATGAGACTTTGGACTGTGGACTTGTGGGTTAACGCTAAAATGTTAAGATTTTGGGGGACTATTGAGAAGGCATGATTGGTTTTGAAATGTGAGGACATGAGATTTGGAGGCACCAGGGGCAGAATGATATGGTTTGGCTGTTTCTCTACCCAAATCTCAATTTGAATTGTATCTCCCAGAATTTCTATGTGTTGTGTGAGGGACCCTGGGGGAGGTAATTGAATCATGGGGGCTGGTCCTTCCCGTGCTATTCTCATGATAGTGAATAAGTCTCACAAGATTTGATGGGTTTATTAAGGGTTTTTGCTTGTGCTTCTTCCTCATTTTGTCTTGCCACCACCATGTAAGAAGTGCCTTTCACTTCCTGCCATGATTCTGAGGCCTCCCCAGCCATGTAGAACTCCAAGTCCAATTAAACCTTTTTCTTCCCAGTCTCGGGTATGTCTTTATCAGCAGTGTGAAAATGGACTAATACAATCACCAATCATTAGAGAAATGAAAATCAAAACCATAATGAGATGCCATCTCACATCAGTCAGAATGGCTATAATTAAAAAAAATAACAGATGCTGGTGAGGTTGTGGAGAAGAGAGAATGCTTATACACTGCTGGTGGGAATGTAAATTAGTTCAACCATTGTGGAAAGCAGTGTGGCAATTCCTCAAAGAACTTAAAACAGAACTACCATTCAACTCAGCAATCCCATTACTGGGTATATGCCCAAAAAAATATAATCATTCTAAGACACATGCACATGTATGTTCACTGCAGTGCTATGCACAATAGCAAAGACATGGAAACAACCTAAATGCCCATCAAGGGCAGACTGGATAAAGAAAATGTGGTACATATATATCATGGAATACTATGCAGCCCTAAAAAAGAAACAAAATCATGTTCTTTACAGAAATATGGATGTTGCTGGAGGCCAATATCCTTAGCAAACTAATGCAGGAAAAGAAAACTAAATACCTCACGTTCTCACTTATAAATGGAAGCTAAATAATAAGAACCAGTGGGCACTAACGGGACAACAGATACTGGAGCCTGCTTGAGGAAGGAGAGTGGGAGAAGGAAAAATAACTATTGGGTACTATCTTAGTACCTGGGTCACAATATGGTCTCTACACCATACCCCCATGACAATAGTTTGCCTATATTAAAAAACCTGCACATATACCCCTGAACCTAAAATAAAATTTTAAAAAAAGAAATCCATAACTCCTGTAAAAAGAAAGACCACAAACTGAACCTCTACTACATTATCTATTAGGATTAATAGGTAGACAAATCAAGAATTTAAATACACATAATAAATATAATAAACATTCTCCAAAATATTGGAGCTATATTGCATATTATTCACAAAATGCAGGCATTAAGGTATAAAGAAGAACCAAGTAGAAATATTAGACATGAAATATATAATAATAAAACCTACCGATGGAATAAATAGCCGAATGACTACAGCCAAAGAATGGTCAAGTAAAGGAACTCTCCCAGAAAACATCAGGCAGGAAGAAAGGCACAGAGATTAGAAATGAAAAGTTAAGAGACTGTGAAGATAGAACAAGAAAGGTTAACTTCTATGTAAGTCTTTAAAAAGTAGAAAAAATAAATGTCAAGAAAATATAAGAATAATAACCAAGAATTTTCCAGAATTGGAGAGAGATGAAGCACCTCATATTGGAAGGGCTCAGAAAAAATATTTGAGAAAAGCTTACCTAAATGTATTATATACATTATATATATACACATATTATATATACACATTACATATATATTATAAATACATTATATATACATTATACATATACATATATACATTATATACATACATTATAAATATATAGTTTTGTTGTTGTTGTTTCGTTTTGTTTTCTTTTTTTTGAGACAAGGTCTCACTCCCATCACCTAGGCTGGAGTGCAGTGGCACTATCATCGCTCACTTCAGCATTGACTTCCCTGGCTCAGATGATTCTCCCACTTCCCCCTTCTGACCCTCCTGACCACCAGGCCTGGGTAATTTTTGTATTTTTTTGATGGGGGTGGGGTTTCGGCATGCTGCTCAGGCTGGCCTCCAACTCCTGAGCCCAAGAGATCTGCCCACCTTGGCCTCCCAAAGTGCTGGTATTACAGGTGTAAGCCACCACTCCTGACCATCCAAATGCATTGTAATGAAATTTTAAAACATCAAAGACAAGGAGAGAAAAAGTTTTTTAAGTGTTCTGAGATAAAGAACAAATCAGCTGACCCTTGAACAACACAGGTTTGAACTGTGTAGGTCCACTTATACAAAGATTTTTTGCAATAAATACAGTTGGCCCTCTGTATCTGTGGGTTTGTGTCTACAACCAAACAGACTGAAACTACAGTATTCATAAGATGTGCAATTTGCTAATACCAAAGGCTGACTTTTCATATACCAGGTTCTACCAAGGCAACTTCGGGACTAGAGTATGCACAGATTTTGGTATTGACAGCAGGTGTTGGGGTGGAGAGTGGGATCCTGGAACCAATGCCCGTGGATACCTAGGGACGACTGTACAAACAAGAATCCAATTGAGGTCATACGATGTAAGAAGGCAATGCAATAATATTTTCAAACCAATCAATTAAAGAAACTTTTAATCTAGAATTTTAAACAAAAATACCGGGCTGGGTGCGGTGGCTCACGCCTGTAATCCCAGGACTTTGGGAGGCCGAGGTGGGCGGATCACGAGGTCAGGAGATCGAGACCATCCTGGCTAACATGGTGAAACCCCGTCTCTATTAAAACTACAAAAAATTAGCCAGGCGCGGTGGCGGGCGCCCATAGTCCCAGCTACTCAGGAGGCCGAGGCAGGAGAATGGCGTGAACCTGGGAGGCGGAGCTTGCAGTGAGCTGAGATAGTGCCACTGCAGTCCGGCCTGGGTGAAGGAGTGAGACTCCGTCTCAAAAACAAAAAAAAACAAACAAAAAAAATCACCTAAAAGCAAACATACAAGAACAGTATCTATTGAATATCTCAGCAGACTTAGCGCCCAAAGACCCTCTTTGAAAACACTCTTGGAAGAGGCACTCCAGCAAAGAGAGAAATAAACCCAGAAGAACATTAGAAGATAAATGAGAAGTAAAGATAAATAAAGTAAGCTAAAATTTATTATTTTTTTAAAAAAGGCAAATATACACACCATACAAACGCAACTATATCCAATAAAATCCACTAAAATTCTAGATAATACCAAGGAAATATGGGTTATGGCAAAAAACAAATGGAAGTAAGAGTACATTGAAGTACACCTATATTGTTTAGGAGAAGATACAGATTGAACTTCAGAAGAAAAACCATCATGAGAGATTGTTAAAAGGAACAACTAATCAAAAAGATATAAAATTTATGAACATATATACACGTTAACCACACAGGCTCAAAATATTTTCAGCAACAACCAGTGGAACTACAGGAAGAAATAAATTAGCAACTATACTTGCTAATTTTAAAATATTCTTCTCAGAATTTTATAGATCAAACAGAATAAAAATTATAATGCATATAAAATAATAAGGTTTAGCTTAATTGATTTATATAGAAATTTACATCCAACAAGCAAAAAATATACATTAATTTTTAGGACACATGCATAGAACATATTTTTTAAAACTGACCATTTAATAGGCAACAAATGAAGCCACAATAAATTCCCAGGAATCTATATCATACCCTCTATAATTCCTGACTATATTTCAATATCATACATAACAAAAGGATGTCTTTAAAAGAAAACCCTCAGCCAGAAAATTATGCACACACATAAAATAAAGATATTACCTAATTAATCCTAGGATTAAAGAGGAAATCTCAGGGAGAAGTTGTAAAATAAATGGTGCCTGAATGACAATAAAAACACTATATATCAAAATATATATGGTATCAGTTGGACCTAGGAAAGAAAAACTCATAGAATACAGGTACTAGTAGTTTGAAAAAAACATAAAATACATCCTTCAGAAAACATGAAATGGTGAAAACATGGAAGCACTCTGTATTAGTTAGGGCTCTCCAGAAAGACAAAACCAATAGGATGGATGGATGGATAGATATAAGATAGATAGATAGATAGATAGATAGATAGATAGATAGATAGATAGATAGAGTTTATTACAGGAATTCATTCATTGGGCTCATGCAATTATGGAGGCTGAGAAGTCCAAGGTTGAGGGGACACATCTGTGAGAGCCTGCTCGCTGATGGGGACTTTCTGCAAATTACCATTCTTGTAGGTCAAAAATAGTTGGATATCAGAAATTTCCTATAGTTCAACTAATAGATAGCTATCATTATTCTCATTTTACTGAAGAAATTGAAGCACAGAGAGATTCAATAACTTGCCCAAGTTACACAGACAATCATTGTCAATGTTATAATTTGAGCCTAGGAAGTGTAGTTTCAGAGTCTGTCTCTCAACCAGTATGCTATACTGCACTGCTTCTTGGAAATTATCTCCATGGATGCAAAAAAGTTATTTAATAAATCTCATCACCGATTTATCATTAAAAAATATGTATCTGACTGAAAGTAAAGAGCAGTTGCCCAGGGATAGGTGGAAGAGTAGAGATTAACTGTAAACATGTACCAGGAATTTTGGGGATAATGGAAATGTTCTAAAAATGGATTATGGTGATTGTTGTACTGTTCTCTTAATTTACTAAAATAATTGAATTTATTTGCACTCTTAAAATGGGTGAATTTTATGTTATATAAATATATTTAAATAATTATATTTTTAAAATTCTGAAAACTTCCTTAGTTTGCTAATAATTATAAGAACAACAACATAGCAAGCATCATACTTAATAGAAGAAATTTTAGAAGCATTTAAAAAAATGCTTCATGAATAAGAAATAATGATTGCCATCCCTGCTGCTATCTAACACAGTACTGAAGATTCTAGCCAAAGATATAAGCTAAAAAGAATTGTTTTCATATGGGAACTAAAATAAAAGAAATAATATTGTTATTAAAAGAATATGGTCATAAACAAGGAAAAACAAAAGTATTAGGTGGCAAATTGTTATAATAAATAAGAGAGTTCAGCAAAGTACCAGATAGAAGATCAACTTACAAAAAGGAGTTTCTCAAAGCAGAAATAATCAAGTGGAAAATTTAATAGGAAAGAAGATACATTCACAAAAGTGGCAAAATCTATACAGCATCTAAGATTTAACCTAACAAAGAGGACAGAAGACCATTTCAGGGAAAAAAATGTAACCTCTGTTAAATAATATAACAAGAAATCTGAATAGAGATAATTTGATCATGTTTGTGGATAGAGTAACTTAAAATTATGAAGATACCTGTTTTACCCAAATTATTCTATAAATTCACTGCTGCAATGGACTGAATGTTTGTGTCCTGCTTCACCGTCAGTTCAAATGTTGAAACCCTCATCCCAGTGTGATGGTATTTGGAGGTGGGGTCTTTGAAAAATAATTACATCAGAAGCCTTCATAAGAAGCCAGACAGCTAGCTAGCTACCTTTCCATACTGTATGAGGATGGCAAGAAGACGGCTCTCTGTCAGCCAGGAAAAGGGCATTCCCCAAGAACCCAACCATGCTGGCAACCTGATCTAGGACTTCCAGCTTTCAGAACTCTGAAAAATAAATGCCTGAACTTTAAGTAGCCCAGTACATATAGCAGCATGAACTGGCTAAGACAGAAATTGGTACTGAGAAATGAGGCACTGCAATAACAAGTACATTAAAGTGTGGAAGCAATCTTGGAAGTGGGTAATGGGTAGAGGCTGCAAGAATTGTGAAGTACATGCTAGAAAATGTCAATGTTGCCATGACGGGATTTTAAAGGCAATTGTGATTATGGCTCAGAAATAAAAGAGGAGAGCTGTACAGAAAGCTTCTGTCTTCTTAAGACAGTACATAATTATGAATCGTGTTAGTAGAAATATGGATAGTAGAGGCCATTCATGATAAAGCCTCAAATGGAAATGATGAAACATGTTATTAGAAACTAGAGGAAAGCCCATCCTTGTTATAAAGTGGTAAAAAACTTGGCTGAATTGTGTTTATGTTCTAGTGTTTTGTGGAATGTAGAACTTGTAAGTGATGAAACTGGATACTTAGTGGAGGAAATTTCTAGGCAAAGTGTTGAAGGAGTGGCTTACTTCTTCCCGATCACTTATAGAAAAAGGTAAGAGAGAAATAAGTTGAAGATGGAATCATTAAGCAAAAAGGAACCAGAACTTAAATATTTGAAAATTTCTGAACTGTTAATGTTACAAAAAAATTTTTAAAAAGCATGTTCAGAAGAGAACACTAAGGGTGTGGTGAACTAACCACTTGAAAAGGAGATTCGTGTAAGTGTGAACCATGGACTTCATCAGCCATCTCAACAGAAACCAGGAACAGAGATGGGGCAATTCTAGCAGAAATGCCAGCTGAGACTAAAGGAAAGAGAGAAAATAGGATACAATTAAGGAAGACCATCAGACTTCTTAGAACTTCAGGACTACAGGACTCAACCACTGAGCAGAAAACATGCACTATCCAAAACAAGAGAAGAAGGACCCCAAAGGAGATTCAGAAATCCACAGAGCTGCCACTTCCACCATTGGCCCAGAGTGCCATGGGCTGAGCCAGAGAATGGGGCTGCCTCCACCTCAGTTTCAAACGGTGGGACCAACACGCAGCAGAGCCATGGGGCAGGGCTGTTGGGACCCACTGGGACACCACCCCCACTGGGCAGAGGTATAAAAGAGGAACCATTGCCACCATGAGTCCAGAGAGTAGAACATCAAAATGATTATTCTTGAGCCTTAAGATCTCACAGAGCTTGCCTTGCTATTAACTTGCCTAGGACCCATTTTTCCTTTCCTTCTTTCCTCTTTCTCCCTTTTGGAATGGGAATGTCTCTCCTATTCCTGTATATTTTGGAAGCACATAAATTGCTTACTTTCACAGGTTCACAGCTGGAGAGGAATTTGCCTCAGGATGAATTGTACTTCAAATCTTACCCATATCCAATTTATGTGATATTTAGATGAGACATTGTACTTCAGACTTTTAAAGTTAATGCCAGAACAAGTTAAGTATTTGGGGGCTGTTGGAATGGAATGGGTTTATTTTGCATGTGAGAAGAACATGAATTTGGGGGAGCCAGGGGCAGAATGCAATGAATGAAACGTATGTCTCCAAATTCATATATTGAAATCCTAATCGAAATGTGATGATATTTGGAGTTGCGGCCTTTGGGAGATAATTAGGTCATGAGAGTGGATCCACTATAATTGGAATTAGTGCCCTTAAAAGATGACACCAGAGGTCTAGCTAGCTCTCTTTCCACTATGTGAGGGAATAGAAAGAAGACAGCCCTCTGTACACCAGGAAAAGTGCACTCACCAAGAACCTGACTATATCAGCACCCTGATCTCAAATTTCTAACCTCCAGAACTGTGAGAAATAAATGTTTGTTGTTTAAATCACCTAGACCATGGTAATTTTTTATAGCAGCCCAAACCAAGACAAACGTAATTGCAATCAAGTTTCTAAAAATATACAGTGGAAATTAAGAAAATCAAAAATTCAGTTGAAATTAAGAAAATCTAAAATCTAAAATAAAAGTTCTTCTTTAAAAAAAAAAAACTAGGCTAATTTTGATAAGAAAGATCCTTTCCCCATTGCTTGTTTTTGTCAGGTTGCTGAAGATCAGATGGTTGTAGACGTGTGGTGTTATTTCTGAGGCCTCTGCCCTGTTCCGTTGGTCTATATATCTGTTTTGCTATCAGTACCATGCTGTTTTGATTAGTGTAGCCTTGTAGTATAGTTTGAAGTCATGTAGTGTGAGGACTCCAGCTTTGTTCTTTTTGCTTAGAATTGTCTTGGCTATACAGGCTCTTTTTTGGTTCCATATGAACTTTAAAGTAGTTTTTTCTAGTTTGGTGAAGAAAGTCAATGGTAGCTTGATGGGAATAGCATTGAATCTATAAATTACTTTGGGCAGTATGGCCATTTTCATGACATTGATTCTTCCTATCCATGAGCATGGAATGTTTTTCCATTCGTTTGTGTCCTCTCTTATTCCCTTCAGCAGTGGTTTGTAGTTCTCCTTGAAGAGGTCCTTCACGTTCCTTATAAGTTGTATTCCTAGGTATTTTATTTTCTTTGTAGCAATTCTGAATTGGAGTTCACTCATGATTTGGCTCTCTGTTTGTCTGTTATTGGTGTATAGGAATGCTTGTGATGCTTGCACATTGAATTTGTATCCTGAGATTTTGCTGAAGTTGCTTGTCAGCTTAAGGAGTTTTGGGGCTGAGACGATGGAGTTTTCTAAATATACAATCATGTCATCTGCAAACAGAGACAATTTGACTTCCCCTCTTCCTATTTGAATACCTCTTATTTCTTTCTCTTGCCTGATTGCCCTGGTCAGAACTTCCAGTACTATGTTGAATAGGAGTGGTGAGAGAGGGCATCCTTGTCTTGTGCTGTTTTTCAAAGGGAATGCTTCCAGCTTATGCCCATTGAGTATAATAATGGCTATGGGTTTGAAATAAATAGCTCTTATTATTTTGAGATATGCTCCATCAACATCTAGTTTATTAAGAGGTTTTAGCATGAAGTGGTGTTGAATTTTATTGAAGGCCTTTTCTGCATCTATTGAGATAATCATGTGGTTTTTGTCATTGGTTCTGTTTATGTGATGGATTACATTTATTGATTTCTGTATGTTAAACCAGCCTTGCATCCCAAGGATGAAGCCGACTTGATCGTGGTGGATAAGCTTTTTGATGTGCTGCTGGATTTGGTTTTCCAGTATTTTACTGAGGATTTTCACATCAATGTTCATCAAATATATTGGCCTGAAATTTTCTTTTTTTGTTGTGTGTCTGCCAGGTTTTGGTATCAGGATGATGCTGGCCTCATAAAATGAGTTAGGGAGGATTCTGTCTTTTTCTATTGTTTGGAATAGTTTCAGAAGGAATGGTACCAGCTCCTCTTTGTACCTCTGGTAGAATTTGGCTGTGAATCCATCTGGTCCTGGGCTTTTTTTGGTTGGTAGGCTATTAATTACTGCCTCAATTTCATAACTTGTTATTGGTCTATTCAGGAATTCGACTTCTTCCTGGTTTAGTCTTGGGAGGGTGTATGTGTCCAGGAATTTAACCATTTCTTCTAGATTTTCTAGTTCATTTGCATAGAG